>NW_003571060.1:804915-987100 GCF_000001405.40 Homo sapiens
CAGGGGGATATGATGGCTTAGCTTGGGCTCAGAGGCCTGACAGTCTGGATCACCTGACCTGGTGATCCGCACACCTCGGCCTCCCAAAGTGCTGGGATTACAGGCATGACCCACTGCACCTGGCCTTAGAAAACTTCTTAAATATTAAAATGTATGTTATGTGTATTTTGCCACAATTTTTGAAAAGTACCTTCTGGTGTTTAGAGACAGAAGATGAGTGGTTGCCTAGGGCCGGGAGAGTGAGGGGATCGTGGTGATGGGCAGCTGGTCGGCATGGGGTTCTGAAGGGCAGTGATGACAACATTCTAAAATTAGACTGTGTTGACGGTTGCACCAACTCCGTGAATACCACAAAATTTAAACCATTGAATTATGCACTTTTAATGGGTAATTGTATGGCATGTAAATTATATCTCAATAAAGTTATATTTTTAAATACCAAAAAAAGGCCGGGTGCGGTGGCTCACGCCTGTAATCCCAGCACTTTGGGAGGCCGAGAAGGGCGGATCACGAGGTCAGGAGATGGAGACCATCCTGGCTAACATGGTGAAACCCCATCTCTACTTTGAAAAAAAAAAAAAAAAAAAAAAGATTACCCGGACGTGGTGGTGGGCACCTGTAGTCCTAGCTACTCAGGAGGCTGAGGCAGGAGAATGGCATAAACTCGGGAGGCAGAGCTTGCAGTGAGTCGAGATTGCGCCACTCAGGAGGCTGAGGCAAGAGAATGGCATAAACCCCGGAGGCAGAGCTTGCAGCGAGCCGAGATTGCGCCACTGCACTCCAGCATGGGTGACAGAGCAAGAGTCCATCTCAAAAAAAAAAAAAAAAAGATTAGTAATATCCTCTGTGTCACTTACCACTTAAGTGATTGAATCACGACTTGAAATTCATCATCTCAAACATGGCTTAGAGTCTGTAGAGGGGGGACAGTCCCAGGAATGCTGGTGTGGGCTTAAGGCTGAATTAAATAGATCCAGATGGCTCACACCTGTAATCCCAATACCTTGGGAGGCCGAGGCAGGTGGGAGGCTGAGGCAGGCGGATCACTGGAGCTCCTGGAGCGAAGAAAGGATGCTAGTGGAAAAACTGGTGAAATCAGAATAAAGTCTATAGTTTTATTTTTTAAAGGAGGCTGGGCGTGGTGGCTCATGCCTCTAATCCCAGCACTTTGGGAGGCTGAGGCAGGTGGATCAGTTGAGTTCAGGAGTTCGAAACCAGCCTGGCCAACTTGACGAAACCCCATCTCTACTAGAAATACAAAAATTAGCTGGGCGTGGTTGTGGGTGCCTCTAATCCCAGCTACTCAGGAAGCTGAGGCAGGAGAATTGCTTGAACCCAGGAGGCGGAGGTTGCAGTGAGCTGAGATCACACCATTGCACTCCAGCCTGGGCTACAGAGCAAGATTCCATCTCCAAATAAGAGAGACATGACAATTAAATAAATTGTGTAATCTTGGATTAAATCCTAAACCAAATATATGTCACTGGTAAAACAAGTGGTGAAATTTGAATAAAGTGGATAGATCAGACAATAGTGTCATATCAGTGCTATTTCTTGACCTTGAACATTAATAACAGAATGTCCTTGGTTTTGGGAAATATAACCTGAAGTGATTAGAGGTTTAGGGCATCATATGCAAATTAGACACACTTTCTTCGGGGAGAGAGGGAGAGGGAGAGAGGCTGAATGATGAAGCAAATGTGGTAAAATGCTAACTTTGGGGAAATCTGGATGAAGAAATTACAGATTTTTTTTTTTTTTATAGACAGGGTAACACTCTGTCACCCAGGCTAGAGTGCAGTGGCACGATCATGGCTCACTGCAGCTTCTACCTCCCTGGGCTCAGATGACCCTCTCACCTCAGCCTCCCAAGTAGCTGGGACTATAGGCGCACAGCACCACACCTGGCTAATTTTTGCATTTTTTTTTCCCCCAGGCTCGTCTCAAGCAATCCACCCACCTCGGCCTCCCAAAGTGCTGGGATTACAGGTGTGAGCCACTGCACCTGGCCAGAAATTCTTTAAACTATTTTTGCAAGTCTGGAATTATGTCAAAATTAAAAGCTCAAAATAATAAAAGACAATATTCTTATATTTCTTTGGTGAAGGTAACTATGTTATGGCTGAGAGGGTGGCTGAGGTCTGAGGATCCAGCCTACATAAGTCTCCTCCATAGAGGGCATCCAAGCGCTCCGTAGGGGGAAGGATAAAGAAAACACCCAGAGTTATGACAGCTGTGTAAGGGGAAACGCCAGCACCGAGTACTGAATCTTCAGTAAATAAGAAGGAGGCGGGCTGGGTGTGGTGGCTCACGCCTGTAATCCCAGCACTTTGGGAGGCTAAAGTGGGCTGATCACTTGAGGTCAAGAGTTCGAGACTAGCCTGGCCAACATGGGGAAACCCTGTCTCTACTAAAAATACAAAAATTAGTCGAGTGTGGTGGCACACGCCTGTAATCCCAGCTACTTGGGAGGCTAGAACAGGAGAATTGCTTGAACCCAGGAGGTGAAGGTTGCAGTGAGCTGAGATTGCACCACTGCACCCCAGCTTGAGGGACAGAGTGAGATTCCGTCTTAAAGAGAAAAAAAAAAGAATTAGCACATTTGTTTGCCTCAAGAAGATACAACTAGTCTTGTACAGTAGTCACATGTATCCACCAGGATATATTCCAAGGCCCCAGTGGATGCTGAAAACTACATAGTACCTTACATGTATATATATATGTATATACATATATACACATATACGTATATGTATACATACATGTATATATGCATGTATGTATATACATATATGCATATATACATACATGTATATATACATGTATGTATATACATATATGTATATGTATGTATACACGCATACATGTATGTATACACGCATATATGTATGTATATACATATATGTATGTATACACGCATACATGTATGTATATACATATATGTATGTATACACGCATACATGTGTGTATACATATATATGCATGTATGCATGTGTGTATATATACATATATGTGTATATATACGCATATACATGTATGTGTATATATGCATGTGTATATATACATGTACGGTACTATGCAGTATATATACACATATATGTATATATGTATACATATATGTATAAATGTATATATGTGTATATATATAAAAGGTATATATGTATATATGTGTGTATATATAAAATGCATGAATTTCTTTTTTCTTACTGTAGATCTTAACAACTTCTGCATAGAATTTTTTTTTATTAAGTGGAGAGTTAGTTACTTACTTAAAAGAAATGTTTCTTGGCTGGGTGTGGTGGCTCACACCTGTAATCCCAGCACTTTGAGAGGCCGAGGCAGGAAGATTCACTTGAGGTGAGGAGTTGGAGACCATCCTGGCCAACGTGGTAAAAACCGGTCTCTACTAAAAGTACAAAAATGAGCTGGGCGTGGTGTTGGGTGTCTGTAGTCCCAGCTACTCAGGTGGCTGAGGCAGGAGAATTGCTTGAACCCACAAGGCAGAGGTTGCAGTGAGCTGAGATCACACCACTGCACCACAGCCTGGGCAACAGAGCAAGACTCTGTCTCAAAAAAAAAAAAAAAGAAAGAAAAAGAAAAAGAAAAGAAATGTTTCTTTTCTTATTAAGTTCTTTAAATGAAAAGCTTTTCTTTTCACTTTTATTTTATTGAAACATTATAACACTATCTTTGAAGAAGTTAGTGTTATCATTCCATTCTGATGAAACCAATTAACTTATCCAAGCATATGTATACTGTACACAGAGAAGCCAACGTCAAAACCCCTATTTTTATCTTTTTAGATTCAGCAGATACATGTGCAGGTTTTTTATGAGTATATTGCATGATGCTGAGGCTTGCATTAATGATCTAGTCACCAAATAGGTAGATTTTCAAGCCTTGCTCCCCTCCTTACCCAATGTTTAGCGCTCTCACTTATAAGTGAGAACATGTGGTATTTGGTTTTCTTTTCTTTTTTTTTTTTTTTTTTGAGATGGAGTTTCACTCTTGTTGCCCAGGCTGGAGTACAATGGCACCATCTCGGCTCACTGCAACCTTCACCTTCCAGGTTCAAGCAATTCTCCTGCCTCAGCCTCCCGAGTAGTTGGGACTACAGGCATGTGCCACCACACCCGGCTAATTTTGAATTTTTAGTAGAGACAGGGTTTCTGCATGTTGGTCAGGCTGGTCTCGAACTCCCGACCTAAGGTGATCCACCTGCCTCAGCCTCCCAAAGTGCTGGGATGACAGGCGTGAGCCACCGTGTCTGGCCAGTATTTGGTTTTCTGTTTCTGTGTTAACTCGCTTAGGATAATGGCCTCTAGCTGCATCCATGTTGCTGCAAAGGACATAATCTTGTGATTTTTCAAGGCTGTATAGCGTTCTGTGGTGTATACATATCACATTGTCTTTATCCAGTCCACCTCTGATGGGACCTGGGTGGATTCCATGTCTTCACTATTGTGAATCCTGCTGCAATGAACATACAAGTGCATGTGTCTTTTTGGTAGAATGATTTATTTTCCTTTGGCTATATACCCAGCGATGGGATTGCTGGGCTGAATGGTAACTCTGTTTGTAGTTCTCTGAAATATCTCCAAACCAAACTGCTTTCCACAGTGGCTGAACTAATTTACACCCACCAACAGTGTATAAGTGTCCCCTTTGCTCCACAATCTCACCAGCATCTGTTAATTTCTGGCTTTTCAGTAATGGCCATTCTGACTGGTGTGAGATGGTATTGTTGAGGGATAATTTAGGAATCAGAGAGACCGAGGGGTTGAGGAGGATTTATTATTATTATTATTATTTAGGTGCACCGGCCCCAGTCAGATTAACATCCAAAAAGACTGAGGCTCGAACAGAGAGTCCGGTTACCTTTTAAGCATTTTGTGGGGTTGGGGGAGATCTGTGCAGGGGGAAGCATATTACAGAAGCAAGAAACAAAGGCAGTTATTCAATTGAGACATGCATCACATTATTCCTTACTTTTCAAGAAAAATATGTTTTACGACTTGAGGTTATCCTGTCTAGTGATCTTGCAGCCGCACGGCAAGAGAAACAGGGTCTTCACAATGCCTGGGAAAGGGAGAGATAAGGCTCACTAGCCACAGACAGAAAAACAGGCAGTTCATGTTTAAAGGACTCCACCTCTTTCTCTTCCTCGGGGGGAACTGGGTTTTCTTAAATACAACTGAGTTTTTGTTTACACATTCTGTAATTTCTTTTAATTCCTGTTCCAGTATCTCACTGTGAAACTCCCTATGTTTTTATACGATTCTCAGGGGGTTTCCTCTGGGCATGATTGGGCACAACTTCCCACAGTCAGCTCTGGGTACGACCTCCACATTGCAGAATTGAGAAGTTGACCCAGAAATGCATTTTGGGCTGAGCAGACAATTGTCAGAGTTGCTGGCTAGACCACAGATGTGTCAGAGGGACCACGGCCTTTCTGTAAGCTCATGGTCAGAGGCGGAGGGGAGTTGTGAACGTTCTGATGAAAGCAGTCAACGTGAAAGCGCTCTGGTGATGGGCGCTGGTGCTCACCCACCACTTCCTGTGTATCTATCTCCCTGGCCCGCCCGGCTCAGTCCCCACTGCTCAGCACTAGGCCGGCAGAATCTGAGCGATGTCTTCCACACTCCCTGCCCTGCTCTGCGTCGGTGAGTTCTGGCGTGGAAGGGGAATGGGATCACGGTGTGCCTGGGAGGCAACAGGTCTCATTACTCCCGTCTTCCAGGGCTGTGTCTGAGTCAGAGGATCAGCGCCCAGCAGCGTGAGTCCTTCCTTCAAAGCCCAGGGTCACTCTTCCGGGTTCAGGCCAAGCTCCTTCCACCCAAGCACGGCTGGGGAGAGGGGACAGGGTGCTGGCTTCCCAGGAGAGCTTGGGGCCAGCAGCTGGGTGGAGCCTAAGGTTGGGGGGAGGGGGCTCCGCTGGAACTCCAGCCTCTGATTCCCTTCCAGAGACTCTCCCAAAACCGTTCATCTGGGCCGAGCCCCATTTCATGGTTCCAAAGGAAAAGCAAGTGACCATCTGTTGCCAGGGAAATTATGGGGCTGTTGAATACCAGCTGCACTTTGAAGGAAGCCTTTTTGCCGTGGACAGACCAAAACCCCCTGAGCGGATTAACAAAGTCAAATTCTACATCCCGGACATGAACTCCCGCATGGCAGGGCAATACAGCTGCATCTATCGGGTTGGGGAGCTCTGGTCAGAGCCCAGCAACTTGCTGGATCTGGTGGTAACAGGTAACTGTCCGGTTCTCTAACTGGAGAGTGATCTCAGTCTGCATCCGGGATGCAGCATCATCTATGAACTCTTCCAAGCCCCACTCAGACACTGCTTGTCTCGGTAGGAGGCTGGAAGGAGGGGTGATCCCCATCACAATCCTTGCCTACAAGGGGTTGTCTGCAGACCGTGTCTCTACGTCCTAGGAGCAGATGTGTCCTCAGTCAGTTTCTCCATGACACAGATTCTGAGATAGATATTTGTATGCAGGGGTATGACTGAGGAATGTCCTCAAAAACAATGCCTGTGGGCTAGGCGCAGTGGCTTACACTTTGCTTCCCTCACCCATCACAGGTGGTGGGTTTTTTTTTTTTTTATCTGTTTTGAGACGGAGTTTCGCTCTTGTCACCCAGGCTGGAGTGCAGTGGTGCAATCTCCAGTCACTGCAACCTCCACCTCCTGGGTTCAAGTGATTCTCCAGCCTCAGCTTCCCAAGTAGCTGGGATCACAGGCACCCACCACTACGCCACATTTTGTATTTTTAGTAGAGATGGGGTTTCACCATGTTGGCCAGGGTGGTGTCGAACTCCTGACCTCAGATGATCCGCCCGCCTCACCCTCCCAAAGTGCTGGGATTACAGGTGTGAGCCATCACACCCAGCCAGGTGGTGGTTTTCTAAAAAAAAAAAAAAAAATTAGCTTTTTTTTTTTTTAACAATATGGTTGTTTATTATTATTATCAAGTATTATACATAGTTACATATACATACATAATTGTATGTGCTATACAATTAGGTTTGTTTATACCAGCAACACCAAAAACACATGAGCAATACTTTGTGCTAGGAAGGCTATGATGTCATCAGGCAATAGGAATTTTTCAGTTTCATTATAATCTTATGGGACCACCATCATATATGTGGTACATTGTTGGCCAAAATGTCATTATGCAGCTCACAACAGTATTTCATGTCCATTCAAATATCTTCTTTTGTGAAATGTCTATTTAAATCTTTTGCCTATTTTTAAATTGGGTTGCTTATATTTTGATTGATTAGGAAAAGTTATTTCTATATTCTGTGTCATATACTTGTGTTGAAATATATATATTTTTTGTCTGTGCCTTTTCATTTGCTCAGGGTCTTTGGACCTTGTTTGGAGGTTCTGGCAGGGGAACACAGCTACTCATTTATTCTTTTTTTTTTAATTTTTTTAGTATTTATTGATCATTCTTGGGTGTTTCTCGGAGAGGGGGATTTGGCAGGGTCATAGGACAATAGTGGAGAGAAGGTCAGCAGATAAACATGTGAACAAAGGTCTCTGGCTTTCCTAGGCAGAGGTCCCTGCGGCCTTCCGCAGTGTTTGTGTCCCTGGGTACTTGAGATTAGGGAGTGGTGATGACTCTTAAGGAGCATGCTGCCTTCAAGCATCTGTTTAACAAAGCACATCTTGCACCGCCCTTAATCCATTTAACCCTGAGTGGACATAGCACATGTTTCAGAGAGCACGGGGTTGGGGGTAAGGTCATAGATTAACAGCATCCCAAGGCAGAAGAATTTGTCTTAGTACAGAACAAAATGGAGTCTCCTATGTCTACTTCTTTCTACACAGACACAGTAACAATCTGATCTCTCTTTCTTTTCCCCACATTTCCCCTTTTTCTATTCGACAAAACCGCCATCGTCATCATGGCCCATTCTCAATGAGCTGTTGGGTACACCTCCCAGACGGGGTGGCGGCCGGGCAGAGGGGCTCCTCACTTCCCAGACGGGGCGGCCGGGCAGAGGCGCCCCCCCACCTCCCAGACGGGGCAGTGGCCGGGCGGGGGCTGCCCCCCAACCTCCCGGACGGGGCGGCTGGCCGGGGCTTTTTTTTTTTTTTTTTGAGACAGTCTCGCTGCAGTGCAGTGGTACAATCTCAGCTCACTGCAACCTCTGCCTCAGCCTCAATTCTCCTGCCTCAGCCTCCCAAGTAGTTGAGATTACAGGCATGTGCCACCACACCCGGCTAATTTTTGCATTTTTAGTAGAGACGGGGTTTCACCATGTTGACCAGGCTGGTCTCAAACTCCTGACCCAGGAGGTCGAGTCTTCAGTAAGCAAAGATAGTGCCACGGCGCTCCAGCCTGGGAAACAGAGCAAGACCCTGTATCATTTTTAAAAATGGTTTTAGACGGTAAATCTTCTATTGTGTGTATTTGACCAAAATAATAATTAAAAAAAAAAAAAAAGCTGGCTGCCAGGCATGGTGGCAGGCCCCTGTAGTCCCAGCTACTTGGGAGGGTGAGGCAGGAGAAACGCTTGAACCCGGGAGGCAGAGGTTGCAGTGAGCCAAGATCGTGTCACTGCACTCCAGCCTGGGCGACAGAGAGAGACTCCATCTCTAAAGAAAGAAAAAAAAAAATAGCTGGCTGCTCATCACTGAGTTTCTGGTGTGGTGGCCCCACCTTCTCTCATAGAAATGTATGACACACCCACCCTCTCGGTTCATCCTGGACCCGAAGTGATCTCGGGAGAGAAGGTGACCTTCTACTGCCGTCTAGACACTGCAACAAGCATGTTCTTACTGCTCAAGGAGGGAAGATCCAGCCACGTACAGCGCGGATACGGGAAGGTCCAGGCGGAGTTCCCCCTGGGCCCTGTGACCACAGCCCACCGAGGGACATACCGATGTTTTGGCTCCTATAACAACCATGCCTGGTCTTTCCCCAGTGAGCCAGTGAAGCTCCTGGTCACAGGTGAGGAAATGCTCAATTCCCCACACCCTTCGCCGCCATGTCCTACCTGGAGCCCTGAGGGATCCCCAGAGAGTGATGGGGAGGGTGTCCAAGGGACGTCCACTTCCTGGGTGCCTGGTTGGTCATGTGAGGAAGAACACCAGAAGCAGGAAGGAGGAGGGAGCAGAGAAAGGAATGGTAAGGCGGGTGGATCACAAGGTCAGGAGTTCGAGACCAGCCTGGCCAAGACGGTGAAACCCCGTCTCTACTAAAAATACAGAAATTAGCCAGACGCAGTGGCGGACACCTGTAGTCCCAGCTACTCAGGAGGCTGAGGCAGGAGAATTGCTTGAACCCGGGAGGCGGGGGTTGTAGTGAACCGAGATCATACCACCGCACTGCAACCTGGGCGACAGAGCAAGACTCCATCTCAAAAAAAAAAAAAAAAAAAAAAGAATGGCAAGACCGGAGGAAACCAAAAACCCTTACTTTTTTTTCTTTATCTCCTTTTCCAGGCGACATTGAGAACACCAGCCTTGCACCTGAAGACCCCACCTTTCCTGGTGAGTAACTGGTCCTTCTAAGCTCAGACGAGCGATCAGAGCCTCCCAGTGACACTAAAAACGTGGCATTCATTCAAAATATTCATCGAGGCCAGGCGTGGTGGCTCACGCCTGTAATCCCAGCACTTTGGGAGGCCGAGATGGTGCATCATTTGAGGTCAGGAGTTTGAGACCAGCCTGGCCAACATGGCGAAACCCTGTCTCTACTAAAAATACAAAACTTAGGCTGGGCATCATGGCTCACACCTGTAATCCCAACACTTCGGGAGGCCAAGGTGGTTGGATCACAAGGTCAGGAATTCGAGACCAGCCTGACCAACATGGTGAAACCCCATCTCTACTAAAAATACAAAAATTAGCCGGGCCTGGTGGTGCTCGCCTGTAATCCCAGCTACTCAGGAGGCTGAGGCAGGAGAATTGTTGAACCTGGGATGCAGAGGTTGCAGTGAGCTGAGATCGCGCCACTGCATTCCACTCCACTGCACGACACAGCGAGACTCCATCTCACAGAAAAAAACAAAACTATTATATATATATATTCATCAAGTGCATAGTATACACAGTGAACTACACTGTAACAGTCAGCCAGGCAGATATCTTGACTCTGCAGCACTTAGATTCTAGCAGGAGGAGACACACCATCGGTCAACGTCAGGATAGCACACAGGAGGGAATGATGCTATGGAAGGAAAAGACAAAGTAGAACAGACTTACAGTGATTGAAATGGCAGCTAGCAATATTAAATAGGTTTGTCCAGATGGACCTCACAGAGAAAGAAGGCATCTGAGCAAATGCGTTCAGACTTGAGTTAATCATGTGGCTGTCAGGAGAAAGGAGGCTCTGGAGAGAATGAAATGGCATCTGCCTGTGCCCTGGGGCAGGAAGATAACTGGGGTAATACAATAATAACTATGAGGCCAGGAGGGTTGAAAATGATGTTTGGAAGATGACGGTGGGATGGGCCTGGGGCGCACGGCTAGGATTACAGGAGTGAGGCCCGGCGCGGTGGCTCACGCCTGTAATCCCAGCACTTTGGGAAACCGAGGCAGGTGGGTCATGAGGTCAGGAGATCAAGACCATCCTGGCTAACACGGTGAAACCCTGTCTCTACTAAAAAAAAATACAAAAATTATCCGGGCGTGGTGGCGGGCGCCTGTAGTCCCAGCTACACAAGAGGCTGAGGCAGGAGAATGGCGTGAACCCGGGAGACGGAGCTTGCAGTGAGCTGAGATCGCGCCACTGCACTCCAGCCTGAGCGACAGAGTGAGACTCCGTCTCAAAAAAAAAAAAAAAGAAAAAGAAAAAGAAAAAAAAATAGTGAGACTTTGAATTTCACTATGTGTGTATGTGTGAGGAGAAAGAGGTAATGATGACTTAATGAGGAAAATGAGGCTTAAATAGAAGACGGGCTGGGCCGGGTGGCTCCCGCATGTAATCCCAGCACTTTGGAAGGCAGGGGCGGCTGGATCACTTGAGGTCAGGAGTTCAAGACCAGCCTGGCCAACACAGTGAAACCCCATCTCTACTAAAAATACAAACATGAGTTGGGTGTGGTGGCGCACGCCAGTAATTACAGCTACTCGGGGCTGAAGCAAGAGGATTGCTTGAACTCGGGAGGCGGAGGTTGCAGTGAGCTGAGATCACACCACTGTACTCCAGCCTCAGAGGCCTGTCATCCCAGCCCTTTGGGAGGCCGAAGCAGGCAGGTCATCTGAGGTTGGGAGTTCAAGACCAGCCTGGCCAACATGGCAAAACCCCGTTTCTACTAAAAATATGAAAAAAATTACCTGGGTATGTGGTGTGTGCCTGTAGTCCCAGCTACTCCAGAGGCTGGAACACAGTGAGACTCTATCTCAAAAAAAAAAAAAATAGAAGACATGACTGGTGCAAAGACACATGCTCACAAGTGCTAGAATGGAATTCCTCGTCAGGTTCGTCCATCTGTGGACCCTTCCACTTTACCTGCTGGATGAAGCTCCTGGGACCCGCAGGGTGAGGTGGGACCTTGTAAAGCTGCAGAACGTCATGGGGTAGACCCAAGGGAAGGAGTGCTGGGGTGGAGGAGGTCAAAACCATCCTCTTTTCTTCACTTCCCTTATCATCAGCAGACACTTGGGGCACCTACCTTTTAACCACAGAGACGGGACTCCAGAAAGGTAAGTAGACAGCTGGGGCCATAGGCTCTGAAGGAAGGGGCTGGGCATAGAGTAGACCTAGGAAGGGAATCTAAATGGGAACAAGAGGGTGTCCTTGGCCAGGCGCAGTAGCTCACACCTGTAATCTCAGCCCTTTGGGAGGCCGAGGCGGGCAGATCATCTGAGGTCGGGAGTTCAAGACCAGTCTGGCCAACATGGCGAAATCCCATCTCTACTAAAAATACAAAAAAATTAGCCAGGCGTGGTGGCGTGTGCCTGTAGTCCCAGCTACTTGGGAGGCTGAGACAGGAGAATAGCTTGAACCCAGGAAGTGGAGGTTGCAGTGAGCCGAGATCGTGCCATTGCACTCCAGCCTGGGCGACAAGACTGAGGCTCTGTCTCAAAAAAAAAAAAAAAAAAAAAAAAAAAGAGGGTGTCCTTACATCCCTGTCAGCGATCACCCTGTTCTCCTGCCTACAGACCATGCCCTCTGGGATCACACTGCCCAGAATCTCCTTCGGATGGGCCTGGCCTTTCTAGTCCTGGTGGCTCTAGTGTGGTTCCTGGTTGAAGACTGGCTCAGCAGGAAGAGGACTAGAGAGCGAGCCAGCAGAGCTTCCACTTGGGAAGGCAGGAGAAGGCTGAACACACAGACTCTTTGAAGAATGACCATGAGACACAGTGGCCATGGGTGGATCTGAAAGCTGGTGTTGAGCCTGGGCGGCGTGAGCTCTGTGTTGGACCCACGGAGGAGGGAGTCACTGCAGGGAAAGAGGGACACTGGCATTCCATTTGTCAGAGCATCCCGGACGATGCAGAGGGTGGGAGAACTACATGCTAAATTTCTTTTTTTTTTTTTTTGAGACAGAGTTTTCTCTTGTTGCCCAGGCTGGAGTGCAATGGCGCGATCTTGGCTCACTGCAACCTCTAGCTCTCCATCCCTCGGGTTCAAGTGATTCTCCTGCCTCAGCCTCCTGAGTAGCTGGGATTACAGGCATGTGCCACCACCCCAGCTAATTTTGTATTTTTAGTGGAGACGGGGTTTCTCCCTGTTGGCTGGTCTCGAACTCCTGACCTCAAGTGATCTCCCCGCCTTGGCCTCCCAAAGGGCTGGGATTACAGGCATAAGCCGCTGCGCCCAGCCACTGAATTTCTTCTGTAGACAAATCCTATGGTCTCTTCTAGGCTCTAACTATTTTTGTACCACTTACTGCAAACCATACTTTTAACCACTCTGGTCTTTTCTGAAAAGATCTCTCCTTCTTTAACAGGATGGCCATGGAAATATTTTTTTCCTACTTTGGTCTTTTTTTCTTTCCTTTCTCTGCAGGAAGCCATTCAAAATAGTTAATAACCAATATAGAATAGGTCTGTATCAAATGGTTCAGGAGGCATTGTGGCAACAACCAGTTGTAGAGAAGCAGCTTTATAAGTGAATCCTGCCAGGCACGGTGGCTCACACCTGTAATCCCAACACTTTGGGAGGCTGAGGCGGGCAGATCACCTGAGGTCAGGAGTTCGAGACCAGCCTGGCCAACATGATGAAACCCCATCTCTACTAAAAATACAAAAACTCGGCCAGGCACGGTGGCTCATGCCTGTAATCCCAGCACTTTGGGAGGCCAAGGTGGGAGGATCACCTGAGGTCAGGAGTTCGAGAGCAGCCTGGCCAACATGGTGAAACCACATCTCTACTAAAAATATAAAAATTAGCCAGGTATGGTGGCGTGTGCTTGTAATCCCAGCTACTCAGGAGGCTGAGGCAGGAGAATAGCTTGAACCCGGGAGGCGGAGGCTGCAGGGAGCCAAGATCGCACCACTGCACTCCAGCCTACGTGACAGAGCAAGATTCTGTCTCAAAAAAAAAAAGAAAAAAAAAAAATAAGTGACTCCTGGCTGCATCCCAACCATACCCCAATTCCTTCTAACCACAGAATTATTCCATCTTCTCTTCCTTTTTTTTTTTTTTCTTTTTTTTTGTTTGTTTTGTTGGGACAGAATTTCACTTTTTTTTTTTTTAATGTAAGTTTTAGGGTACATGTGCACAACGTGCAGGTTAGTTACATATGTATACATGTGCCATGTTGGTGTGCTGCACCCACTAACTCGTCATTTAACATTAGGTATATCTCCTAATGCTATCCCTTCCCCCGAGTTTCACTTTTGTCACCCAGGCTGGAATGCAGTGGTGCAATCTTGGCTCACTGCCACCTCCACCTCCAGGGTTCAAATGATTCTCCTGCCTCAGCCTCCTGAATAGCTGGGATTATAGGCATGCACCACCACGCCCGGCTAATTTTTGTATTTTTAGTAGAAATGGGGTTTCACAATGTTGGCCAGACTGGTCTTGAACTCCTGACCTCAGGTGATCCACCAGCCTCGGCCTCCCAAAGTGCTGGAATTACAGGTGTGAGTCACCGTACCCGGCCACCATCTTTGCTTCTTTATCCACACCTTGCCTTGTTCTTCAGGGCTCTGCAGAGATATCATTTCCTCCAAGAGTTTCCACAACTCCGACTTCACAAAGATAGCACTTTTTTTTTTTTTTTTGAGACAGTCTCACTCTGTAGCCCAAGCTGGCGTGCAGTGGCACAATCTCAGCTCACTGCAACCTTCGCCTCTGGGGCTCAAGCGATTCTCCTTCCTCAGCCTCCCAAGTAGCTGGGACTAGAGGCGCGCGCCACCACACCCGGTTAATTTTTTTTGCATCTTTAGTAGAGGTAGGGTTTCATCATGTTGCCCTGGGTGGTCTCAAACTCCTGAGTTCAGGTGATCCCCCCGCCTTGGCCTCTCAAAGTGCTAGGATTACAGGCGTGAGCCACTGCGCCCAGCCAAGACAACACTTTCCTCATCCCAAAGCACCTGTTAATTCCCTGTAACAGCACTTGAACCCTGATTCGGCATGCATGTCCATTTTCCTGCCTCTACCGTGAACTCGTGTGAATTGATCTATGTCAGATTTAGTGGCTGCATTCACAGCTCCCGCAACTATAACGGGGTTCTCGGGAAATATATATCAAATGAGTGAATGTATATACGGGGCTGTGGCACAGCCTGCAACTTGAGACTTCTCACTAGGGGTCTTGAAATGCTGTCTGGACACCACCATCGCTTTCCTCCCTGAGAACTTCTACTTATCAACCCATTTATATACTCATCGCATGGGTCCTCACGCCCTCCCATTATTCTGGTGCCTCATGCCGGTCAAATTTATTCTCTAAATCTGATTTTTCCATTAAATAGCAGCCTGGCCAACACGGTAAAACCCCATCTCTACTAAAAAATACAAAATATTAGCCAGGCGCAGTGGCTTGCACCCGTAATCTCAGCTACTCGGGAGGCTGAGGCAGCAGAATCACTTGAACCCGGGAGGCAGAGGTTGTGGTAAGCCGAGATTGCACCACTGCACTCCAGCCTGGTAACAGAGCGAGACTCCCTCTCAAAATAAATAAACTGCTGACTCGCGTATTTTTTCTTTACCCCAACTCATTCCTTACATGTAGGCACCTGTAATCCTAGCTACTCAGAAGGCTGAGGCAGGAGAATCGCTTGAACCTGGGAGGCGGAGGTTGCGGTGAGCCAAAATCGTGCCACTGCACTCCAGCCTGGGCGACAGAGCGAGACTCCATCTCAAAAAAAAAAAAAAAAAAACCACATAGGCTCAGTCTTTTCAGTATCTGCTTTACTGGTTCAGTAAAAGCCAGGAAACACAACTTTGTGGTAATCTGAATGTTATTGAACTGTATTTTGTTCACTTTATTGTAAATACTAGTGAACAGTGAATAAATGGTTGTATATTCCTAATAAGAAAAAAAAAAAAAAAGACCCAAAGTACAGCGAGCTGATGCCGATCTCATTTCGCAGAGGTCCGCCTGCTCTCCCCTCTCCAAGAGTGTAATCCTATGCTTAATAAACTTATGCCGCTTTGCTATGTGTGTGTATCACACCCAATTCTTTGTTCGAAACACCAAGGGCCTGGAACTTCACAGCTTTGGCTGGTAACGGGGAGCAGGGGTAAAGACATTTAAAAGCTGCTTGTGTTAACCATAATCGCCATCCCATATATCAGACCCCCAGAACTAACTCATCTTATAACTGAATATTGTGCTTTTTTTTTTTTTTTTTTTTTGAGACGAAGTCCTGCTCTGTCACCCAGGCTGGAGTGCAGTGGCGCGATCTTGACTCTGCAACCTCCGCCTCCCGGGTTCAAGCGATTCTCCTGCCTCAGCCTCCCGAGTAGCTGGGACTACAAGTGCGTGCCACCACGCCCGGCTAATTTTTGTATTTTTAGTAGAGACGGGGTTTCTCCATGTTGGTCTCAAACTCCTGGTCTCAGGTGATCCACCCGCCTTGGCCTCCCAAAGTGCTGGGATTACAGACGTGAGCCACCACACCCAGCTACTTGTGCTTTTTGACCAACATCTTCCTCTCCTACCACCCCCAGCCCCTGATAACCTCCACCTACTCTCACTTCTAGGAGATCAACTGTTCTATTTTTTTTTTTTTTTTTTTTTTTTTGAGTCTCGCTCTGCACACCCAGGCTGGAGTGCAGTGCTGCAATCTCGGATCACTGCAACCTCCGCTTTCCGGGTTCAAGCGATTCTCCTGCCTCAGCCTCCAGAGTCGCTGGGATTACTGAGCCACCGCGCCCAGCCAGAAGACCCACGCTCCCTAAGACATAACCCACACTGGTGGCCTTTGTTCTGACTTCTCACCTGTGCTCCCCACCCGCTAGAAACTGGCTTCTCTCCCCACACTTCCTCTGAAGCTGTCTGTGTGACCAACACTAATGAGCTTCCTTCCTGGAACATGCAGTGACCCTTTTCAGCCCTTCTCATTATTGCTCCCCCACAGTTGTATTTGACACGTTGACCACTTCCTCCTCGAAGGACTCACTTCTCTGGCTTTCTCGGACACTTCTTGCTACTCGTTTTCTGACGGTTACAGTACCAACAGGTTTGCAGGCACCTCCACCACCAGAGCCAATCCCAGCTACTCGGGAGGCTGAGGCAGGAGAATCGTTCAAACCCGGGAGGCAGAGGTTGCAGTGAGTCGAGATTGCGCCACTGCACTCCAGCCTGAGTGACAGACTGTGACTCCTCAAAAAAAAACAAAAACAAAAACAAAAAAACTACAGTCTTGCTCTGTCGCCCAGGATGGAATGCAGTGGTGCCATCTTGGCTCACTGCAACCTCTGCCTGCTGGGGTCTAGCGATTCTCCTGCCTCAGCCCCCCAAGGAGCTGGGACTACAGGCATGTGCCGCCACGCCTGGCTAATTTTTGTATTTTTAGTGGAGATGGGGGTTTTACCATGTTAGCCAGGTTGGTCTTGAACTCCCGACCTCATGTGATCCGCCCACCTTGGCCTCCCAAAGTGCGAGGATTACAGGCCCCCGCACCCAGCCTAGGATCCTGCACCTCTCTAGCCTAGCAGTTCTCTGCTGGGTGATTTTGCTCTCCACTCCAGGGGACATTTGGCAATGCCCATGGTAATTTTTAATTGTCATGACTTGGGGAGGGGTTCTACTGGCATCTGGTAGGTAGGGTCCAGGGGTGCTGCTCAGCTTCCTACAATGCCCAGGGCAGCCCCAGATGGCAGCAGCACCAAGGCTGAGAAACACTGGCTCATGCAGAAAGCAACCACCTTACACCCTTCAGTGCAGGGACAAAGGCAGGGTTACGAGTCCACGGAAACTCTCCAGTCTCAGCCTACGTAAGACGTGGCTATTTTTCTTTCTTATTGTTTTTATTCATTTATTTTTCTTGAGACAGAGTCTTGCTCTGTCGCCCAGGCTGGACTGCAGTGGCGCGATCTCTGCTCACTGCAAGCTCCGCCTCCCGGGATCACACCATTCTCCTGGGACTACAGGCGCCCGCCACCTAGCCCGGCTAATTTTTTGTATTTTTAGTAGAGACGGGGTTTCACCATGTTAGCCAGGATGGTCTCGATCTGACCTCGTGATCCTCCCGCCTCGGCCTCTCAAAGTGCTGGGATTACAGGTGTAAGCCACCGCACCCGGCCTTATTCATTTATTTTTTGAGATAGAGTCTGAGCCCTTTATTTTATTTATTTAGAGACCAAGTCTCGCTCTGTTACCCAGGCTGGAGTGCAGTGTCGTGGCCTCAGCTCACTGCAACAACCTCCGCCTCCCGGGTTCAAGCGATTCTCCCACCTTGGCCTCCCAAAGTGCTGGCATTACAGACACCCACTACCATGCCTGGCTAATTTTTTGTACTTTTAGTAAGTAAAGACAGGGTTTCACCATCTTGGTCAGGATGGTCTCGAACTCCTGGCCTCAAGTGATCGGCCCGCCTGGGTCTCCCAAAGTGATGAGATTACAGGCGTGAGCGACCACACTGGCCTAATGTGTAGTTTTTTATCTGTGGCCTCCCTTCTGCCCTCCCCCTTCTGAGACTCTGAAGCCCATTACATCACTCTGCCTTTGTGTACCAACAGCTTAGCTCCCACTGAGAACATACAGAGCCAGGCACGGTGGCGGTGGCTCACGCCTGTAATCCCATCACTTTGGGGGTGCTGAGGCAGGTGTATCGCCTGAGGCCAGGAGTTCAAGACCAGTCTGGCCAACATGGTGAAACCCCATCTCTACTAAAAATAGAAAAATACATAGCTGGGTGTGGTGGCACGTGCCTATAATCCCAGCTACTAGGGAGGCTGAGGTTGGAGAATCGCTTGAACCCAGGAGGCGGAGGTTGCGGTGAGCCAAGATCACACCATTGCACTCTAGCCTGGGCAACAAGAGCAAAACTGTCTTAAAAAAAAAAAAAAAAAGTGAGAACATATGGATTCTACTCCTGTTAGAATAATGGCCTCCAGCTCCATCCAAATTGCTGGAAATGACATTATTTCATTCCTTCTAATGGCTGAATAGTATTCCATGGTACATAGACACCACGTTTTCTTTATCCACTGTAGGGACCAGCCCCACAGGGTCGGTGGGTCTCTCCCTGTGTGCGGCGACGAGAGAGTGTAGAAATAAAGACACAAGACAAAGAGACAAGAGAAAAGGCAGCTGGGCCCGGGGGACCACTACCACCAATGCGCGGAGACCGGTAGTGGCCCCGAATGTCTGGCTGCGCTGTTATTTATTGGATACAAGGCAGAAGGGGCAGGGTAAAGAGTGTGAGTCACCTCCAATGATAGGTAAGGTCACGTGGGTCACGTGTCCACTGGACAGGGGGCCCTTCCCTGCCTGGCAGCCGAGGCAGAGAGGGAGAGGAGACAGAGAGAAAGACAGCTTACGCCATTATTTCTGCATATCAGGGACTATTAGTACTTTCCCTAATTTACTACTGCTATCTAGAAGGCAGAGCCAGGTGTACAGGATGGAACATGAAGGCGGACTAGGAGCGTGACCACCGAAGCACAGCATCACAGGGAGACGGTTAGGCCTCCGGATAACTGCGGGCGAGCCTGACTGATGTCAGGCCCTCCACAAGAGGTGGAGGAGCAGAGTCTTCTCTAAACTCCCCCGGGGAAAGGGAGACCCCCCCCCCCACCCGCTGCCCCTTTCCCGGTCTGCTAAGTAGCGGGTGTTGTTAATTGACACCTTTTGCTACCGCTGGACCATGATCCGCTTGGTGACGGGTGTCTTCCCAGACGCTGGCGTCACCGCTAGACCAAGGAGCCCTCTGGTGGCCCTGTCCGGGCATAACAGAAGGCTCGCACTCTTGTCTTCTGGTCACACCTCACTATGTCCCCTCAGCTCCTATCTCTGTATGGCCTGGTTTTTCCTAGGCTATGATTATAGAGTGAGGATTATTATAATATTGGAATAAAAAGTAATTGCTACCGGCTAATGATTAATGATACTCATATATAATCATATCTAAGATCTATATCTGGTATAACAATTCTTGTTTTATATTTTATTATACTGGAACAGCTCGTGTCCTCTGTCTCTTGCCTCGGTGCCTGGGTGCCTTGCCGCCCACAATCCACTCATTATTCAATGGGCACTTCGGTTGGTTCCACATCTTTGCAATTGTGAATGGCTGAGCCAGCCATTCTTAACTGGGGGTGATTTTGTCCCCATGGGGGTATCTGGCCACATCCCGAGAGGTTTTTTGGTTGTCACGAGTTGCAGTGGGGGCAGGCTCAGGCTCATCCAAGTCCAGGGGTGCTGCTATACATCACGTGATACACAGGACAGTCCTTGCTACGGACTGAATTGGTCCCACCAAACGTCATGTACAAGCCCTACCCCAGATGTGACTCTATTTGGACACAGGGCTTTTCAGAGGTAATTAAGGCTGGTCAGGCGCCGTAAT
Source organism: Homo sapiens (assembly GCF_000001405.40). Taxonomy (NCBI): domain Eukaryota; kingdom Metazoa; phylum Chordata; class Mammalia; order Primates; family Hominidae; genus Homo; species Homo sapiens. The sequence goes on from NW_003571060.1 coordinate 824,849, forward strand.
CACAGCACTTTAGGAGTTCTGTGTTTATTACTGGTAAGTGGGTAAGAGCCCAGTGTGGCAGCTCACGCGTGTAATCCCAGCACTTTGGGAAGCGAAGGCAAGGGGATAACTGGAGGCCAGCAGTTCAAGACAAGCCTGGTCAATACAGCAAGACTCCATCTCTATAAAATATTTTAAAATTAGCCAAGCATGTTTGGCATGCACCTGTAATCCCAGCTCAGGAGGCTCAGGTGGGAGGATTCCTTGAGTTTAAGGCTGCAGTGAGCTAAGATCGCACCATTGCACTCCAACCCGGCTGTGGGCAACACAGCACCACCACCATCTTGGCTGGGCACGGTGGCTCACGCCTGTCATGCCAGCACTTTGGGAGGCCGAGGCGGGTGGCTCACCTGAGGTCAGGAGTTTGAGACTAGCCTGGCCAACATGGTGAAATCACGCCACTGCACTCCAGCCTAGGCAACCAAGTGAGACTCTGTCCGCCCCACCACCCCACCAAAAAAAAGACTACTATCTTAAACAAAATCAAAATTTTTAAGTAGATAAAATATTTAGGGGAAAAAAACTTCAATTAAATATGCAGCAGAGTCCGACCCAGATGTTTTCACTCCCAGCCTCTACCTACTATCTTTGTGTCTTTATTTTTAGCAAATTCTACACGGGAACTTCATGTGCATGTAGAACCCTAAATGTTGACTCAGCCCTACCTCTCATCACCTGACCACTTCCTTTATTCACGCTGTCTCTACCACCCTTCCCATCGGTGTGAGCTGTATCCCGCTAAACACTGTTACCACCCACAGCCTGCATTACTACCAGCTGACTGTAGCCTTAAACACCACAGTGATCTCGAGCATTTGAGAAGACTTATCTTGACAAGGGCTCACGAAAGACAGCAATGCTCAACAGCAAGATAAATGAGGGCCTTCATGGGATCATTCAGTGCTGAAGCCACTCAACCTCCAGGTTTGGGTTAGTAAAAAGAACTTTGTCAGGCCAGGCACAGTGGCTCACGCCTGTCATCCCAGCACTTTGGGAGGCCAAGGCGGGCAGATCACCTGAGGTCAGGAGTTCAAGACCAGCCTGGCTAACATGGTGAAACCTCGTCTTTACTAAAAATACAAAAATTAGCCAGGCATGGTGACGCACACCTCTAGTCTCAGCTACTCCGGAGGCTGGGACAGAAGACTCACTTGAACCCAGGAGGCAGAGGTTGTAGTGAGCCAAGATCGCACCACTGCACTCCAGCCTGGGCGACAGAGGCAAGACTCCATCTCAAAAAAAAAAAAAAAAAAAAAAAGAAAAGAAAACTTTGTCATACAAGCTTTCAACCTAAAGCATTAGCCATATGCCCGTGTTTTTGTGCCTGGGACCATGACAACTTTCCCCATATCAATGCTCTTATTTTTTTTTTTTCGAGACAAGAGTTTTGCTCTTATTGCCCAGGCTGGAGTGCAGTGGCACAATCTCAGCTCACCGCAAACTCCGCCTCCCGGGTTCAAGCGATTCTCCTGCCTCAGCCTCCCGAGTAGCTGGGATTACAGGCATACACCACCCCACCCGGCTAATTTTGTATTTTTAGTAGAGACGGGGTTTCTCCATGTTGAGGCTGGTCTCGAACTCCTGACCTCAGGTGATCCGCCCGCCTCGGCCTCCCAAAGTGCTGGGATTACAGGTGTGAGCCACAGCGCCTGGCTGCTCTTATTAAAATAGTCTCATCACCTACCGCAAGCGTGGAGAGCCAAGTGAGGAGAGGGGTCAGTCCCTTTTGGCAGCGCCTGGAAGCCAGTGCTAACATCATGGTGACAACTTTTCATTCTTAAGGAAAATTGCGGAGTGACTTCTATGCATTTTCTATGAATGACCAAATACAGGGTGTGGAAAAGCTGTGTTTGCCATGGCAATGGGAAGCCGAGAGAAACGGGGAGGCGAGAGAGACAGAGACATACACAGAGACTCCCAGAGACAGCCACACAGACTCACACAGAAACAGACAGACAGGCTGGGCTCGGTGGCTCACGCCTGTAATCCCACCACTCTGGGAGGCTGAGGCGGGTAGATCACCTGAGGTCAGGAGTCCGAGAACAGCCTGGCCAACATTGTGAAACCCCGTCTCTAGTAAGAATACAAAAAATTAGCCAGGCATGGTGGCACAGGGCTGTAATTCCGGCTACTCGGAAGGCTGAGGCAGGAGAATCACTTGAACCTGGGAGGCGCGGTTGCAGTGAGCTGAGATCACGCCATTGCACTCCAGCATGGGCGACAAGAGTGAAACTCCGTCTCAAAAAAAAAAACAAAAAAAAAAAACGAAAGAACAGAGAGACACATACAAAGACAGAGATAGAAACGCCCAGCGACAGAGACACACACAGAGAAACACAGACAGACACAGAGACACACACACAGAAACAGACACAGAGACAGAGAGACAAAAAGACAGACACAGAGAAACAAAGAGAGACACACAGAGACAGAGAGAGAGAGAGACACATACACACACACACAGAGAGTAGGAGGCGGCCCGTGGGAGCCGAGCAGAACCAGCGTGAGGCAGGGCCATCTTCTGAATTAAAGGCAACAGTGACTGTAAGCTTGTGCTTTGTGAGTAACAGGATAGATTAGAACAGGGCTGGCTGCCCATGGCCCACGAGCTGTTTCTGGGAAGCCTCCGCAGGTGCCAGCCAGGCCCTGCGCTGCTTCCATGTCCAAAGGCACAGCTGAGAGCTGATGAGAGACCGCGGGGCCCACAGTGCCAAGCATATGAACTATCTGGCCCGTTTGTCAATGCGTGGGTTGATCACATAAGTTATGATCACATAAGTCACAAAGACACACTGATCACATAGATGCACCTGGCAGATAGTAGACCACATGGCGCCTGAGTTAGGGAAGAAAAGAAATAGAAGAATCAACCGAATCATCCCTGAACTTCTTAGCAATACTTCCTCCTAGACAAAGCACAGAGTACCATGTTTATTGCAGGTTTGCTCCTGAGCATGTCAATAAACGCAGCTGCAACGAGAGTGCTCTAACTTTATTATCCCTGTGAGAAAGTACATAGCGTCATGTGAAGGGGGTGCGTGACTCGTGCAGAATCTCCCAAAAATAGTGAGAAAACCAGTGTCAAATCCTACCTCTCGACAGACTCTAGTGTTAACATGTGACCCTCTGACCTGCATTCATAAGACATCTTAGAGACCCGAATCCCGCTTCCTGTGTAATTCGTAGAGCGATCCCAGGCTGCTCAGCAAAAAAAGTCACAGCACGGAGGTGCCGTTGCCCCGGAAGCATTGCAATCAATAGTCAGCTTGGGATTCTTTTCTTTCACTTCCTCCAACAGCTTCTTGATTTCCAAATTAGTTTCATAGGTCTTCAACCTGGAGGGATCAGAGAACACAAATGTTCCCAGAAATTCATTCTCAACTACCCAGGATGCCTGAATATCTGTTTTCAAACACTCAAAGCAGGAAACGTTTTTGGGATTTTCTGGGGGACAGGGTCTTGCTCTGTTGCCCAGGCTGGGGTACAGTGGTGCCATCTTGGCTCTCTGCAACCTCCAGCTCCCAAGTTCAAGCAATTCTCATGCCTCAGGCTCCTGAGTAACTGTGATTACAGGTGTGCACCACCACGCTTGGCTAAGTTTTGTATTTACAGTAGAGATGGGGTTTCGACATGTTAGCCAGGCTGGTCTCGAACTTCTGGCCTCAAGTGATCCATCCACCTCGGCCTCCCAAAGCCATGGGATTACAGATGTGAGCCACAGCACCCAGTCAGAAAAGTTTTCTAAAAAGAAATTTAGACCCACACAATGGGGATCCTTATAAGTCTAAGAAAAAAAAGATTATGGCCAGGCACGGTGTCTCGCACCTGTAGTCCCAGCACTTTGGGAGGCCAAGGCAGGCAGATTGCTTGAGCTCCGCAGTTCAAGGCCAGCCTGGGCAACACGGTGAAACCCTGTCTCTACCAAAAATAGAAAAAGTTAGCCAGGAATGGTGGTGCACGCCTATAGTCCCAGCTACTCGGGAGGCGGAGGCAAGAGGATCACTTGAGCCCAGGAGGCGGAGGTTGCAACGAGCTAGAGATTGCCCTACTGCACTCCAGCCTGGTAACAGAGTAAAACATGCCTTTAAAAAATAAATTTAAAAAATAGATAATCAGGCTGGTGCACGGTGACTCACGCCTATAATTCCAGCACTTTGGGAGGCCGAGGCGGGCAGATCACCTGAGGTCAGGAATTCGAGACCAGCCTGGCCAACATAGTGAAACCCCGTCTCTACTAAAAATACAAAAATTAGCTGGGCATGGTGGCAGACAACTGTAATACCAGCTACTCAGGAGGCTGAGACAGGAGAATCGCTTTGAACCTGGGAGGCAGATGTTGCAGTGAGCCAATACCGCACCACTGTACTGCAGCCCGGGTGACAGAGCGAGACTCTGCCTCCAAATAAATAAATAAAAAATAGTGGCAAATCAAACCTTCAGTAGAACTAAGAGAATGCCAGAGTGAACCCCAGGGTTAATGATAGCAAACTTGGCTCTAACGTGGCTGCAGCATGCAAGCCTGTGTATGTGAACATGAGGGGTGGTGATTGTGGAGACACTGGCTTGCTATGTTGCCCAGGCTGGTCTCAAACTCCTGGCCTCAAACAATCCTCCCACCTTGGCCTCCCAAAGGAGGAACTGAGGAATGAGAAAAGAAATACGCCCCAAACATATGACATAAGAGACCACAGGGGGCTAGAGATTTGTCACCAATAGTCCTTGGTGGCATTACAGACCTCGGTCCCACCAACAAGAGAAGCATGACACTATTTAGCTCAAGTTTCATGATATACCCCTAAAACCTTAACCCATTTATGCCAGAGGTTACAATTATTTGAACTGCAGACGTGTGAAAAATCGTACCTTGAGCAGGATATAAATAACTCCCACATGCTTAGCGTTCCAATAATGCAACACTGGGCATCATGAAGCAGTTTACATGCGTATCATCTCTACAACTAAAATAACTCTTGAATAAGACAAGTGGGCTGTGCACAGTGGCTCACGCCTGCAATCCGGGTACTTTGTGAGGCCAAGACAGGAGGATCGTTTGAAGCCAGGAGTTTGAGAACCTCGGCAACACGGCCACACAGTGCAGCAGAGCAAAACGTTGTCTCAGAAAAGAAAAGACAAAGGCAAGAAGAAACTAAAGGTAGATTACGTTAAAATAAGTCACTGAGGCCGGGCGCGGTGGCTCACGCCTGTAATCCCAGCACTTTGGGAGGCCGAGGTGGGCAGATCACCTGAGGTCAGGAATTCGAGACCAGCCTGGCCAACATAGTGAAACCCCATCTCTACTAAAAATACAAAAAATTAGCCGGGCGTGGTGGCGGGCGCCTGTAGTCCCAGCTGCTCGGGAGGCTGAGGCAGGAGAATGGCGTGAACCCGGGAGGTGGAGCTTGCAGTGAGCCGAGATCGCACCGCTTCACTCCAGCCTGGGCGACAGAGACTGGAGTCTCTGTCTCAAAAAAAAGACAGATTCAAAAAAAAAGACAGACTCCGTCTCAAAAAAAAGACTCCGTCTCAAAAAAAAATAAAAAATACAAATAAGTCATTGAAAAGATATACACGGGTCACAACTAAGGGAGCATCTGTAGGACGATCTTCTGAAAAGCTAAGACCCAGGACAGCTCTGGGAACTACCTATTTTTGGATATAATGATTAGGGGTGTGTGTGTGTGTGTGTGTGTGCTCATGCACACACATACACACAAGCTTCCAGTCTGTACTCCAGGATGATTTAAACTCTCAGTATGCCTAGGACTAAGTGTTTTGGGGGAAAGTTGGACAATATTCAATTCACAGAGCATTTTAGAAAAGTATCTAATTTTTAAATTATCTCCTAAGCTAGGAGTGTGCTATAGAAAGATGCCTTAAGTTGATCCCTACAAAGAGTACACACACTCCCAAAAAAACTCTTCTCTGCATGGGAAATTCACCATGTGAAACAGCCATCCCAGGGCCGAGCACAGTGGCTCACGCCTGTAATCCCGGCACTTTGAGAGGCTGAGGCAGGTGGATCACCTGAGGTTGGGAGTTTGAGACCAACCTGACCAACATGGTGAAACCCCATCTCTACTAAAAACTACAAAAATTGGCCAGGTGCAGTGGCTCATGCCTGTAATCCCAGCACTTTGGGAGGCCAAGGCGAGAAGATCACCTGAGGTCAGGAGCTCGAGACCAGCCTGGCCAACATGGCAAAACCCCATCTCTACTAAAAATACAAAAATTAGCTGGGTGTGGTGGCGAGCGACTGTAATCCTAGCTACTCAGGAGGCTGAGGCAGGAGAATCACTTGAACCCAGGAGGCAGAGGTTGCACTGAGCCGAGATAGCGCCACTGCACTCCAGCCTGGGGGACAGAGAGAGACTCTGTCTTTAAAAAAAAAAAAAAAAAAAAAAAATTAGCCAGCTGTGGTGGTGTGTACCTGTAATCCCAGCTACTCAGGAGGTTGAGGCAGGAAAATCGCTTCAACCTGTGAGAAGGAGGCTGCAGTGAGTCAAGATCGCGCCACTGCACTCCAGCCTGGGCAACAGTGAGACTCCATCCCAAAAAGCAAAAACCAAAAAGGCCGGGTGCAATGGCTCACCTCTGTAATCCCACCACTTTGGGAGGCCGAGGCAGGTGGCTCACCTGAGGTCAGGAGTTCAAGACTAGCCTGGCCAACATGGTGAAACCCCTCTCTACTAAAAAATTAGCCAGGCATGGTGGCAGGCATCTGTAATTCCAGCTACTTGGGAGGCCAAGGTGGGAGAATCGCTTGAACCCAGGAGGTGGGGGTTGCAGTGAGCCAAGATCGCACCACTGCACTCCAGCCTGGGCTACAAGAACAAAACTCCGTCTCAAAAAAAAAAAAAGAAAAAGAAAAAAATTAGCTGGACATGTTGGCATGCCTCTAGGCCCAGCTACTCATGAGGCTGAGGCAGGAGAATTGCTTGAACCTGAGAGGCAGAGGTTGCGGTGAGCCAAGATTGCGCCACTGCACTCCAGCCTGAATGACAGAGCACGACTCCATCTCAAAAAAACAAAAACAAAAAACAAAACAAAACAAAACAAAAAACCCATACCTGAGTATCTTCAAGGATCCAGTTCTTTGTCTTAGAACCCCAAAGAGCTTAATTATGCCACTCTTCCACAAATGATTCTGGCCCAGGTCCAGAGTTTCAAGCTTCTGATTGCTGAGGAGAGCAGATCCAAGATGCTGACAATAGAAAGGCATGAGGGAGCAGCTCCAGAGGCTGTTGAGGAAGAACATGGAAATCCACGCATTCACTGAGCAGGTAGTGGCTCAAGCGTGTAATCCCAACACTTCGGGAGGCCAAGGCGGGTGGATCACTTGAGGCCAGGTGTTCGAGACCAGCCTTGCCAACACGGTCAAACCCCATCTCTACTAAAAATACAAAGATTAGGCAGGGCGTGGGGACAGACACCTGTAGCCCCAGCACCTTGGGAGGCCGAGGAGGGTAGATCACCTGAGGTCAGGAGTTCGAGACCAGCCAGGCCAACATGGCAAAACCCCATCTCTACAAAAAATTAGCCATGCATGGTGGTGTGTGCCTTTAATGCTAGCTACTTGGGAGGCTGAGGCACAAGAATCGCTTCAGCCTGGGAGGCGGAGGTTACAGTGAGCCCAGATTGCGCCACTGCACTCCAGCCTGGGCAATAGAATGAGACTCCATCTCACAAATATATAACATAAAATGAAAATACAAAAATTAGCCAGGTATGGTGGAACCACCTATAATTCCAGCTACTCGAGAGGCAGGAGAATCGCCTGAACCAGGAGGCAGAGGTTGTAGTTAGCCAACATATCACCACTGCATTCCAGCTTGGGTGAAAGAGTGAGACTTGGTCTCAAACAAAACAAAACAAAAAAACAAGCAGCATATTTGCTGGGGCTCCAGTAGTGAGGAAAGGCAGAGGGGAGTGAGCAGAAGAAATCCTTGTCCTCAGAGTTTTTAGTGACAGCAGACATCTCGATATGTTCTATTGAAGACAATGGATGATGGTATTAAAATAAACAGGGTAGAGGTAAGTCAAACAGAGAGGCATTGATTGGCTAGACTTATGCTGGTCATTTAAGTCCTCTTTTGGAAAGTGATATGAGGAAAGAAACTGAAGGATGGTAGATCATGAACCAGCATGCTAACTGGGGGAGGGAATCTTGTAAATAAAATACTGAGCTAGTGAGAAAGTAGAATGATTTATGGCTCATAACTTACACGAGGATCCCCCATAAGGCCCTGTAGGCCACTGTAGAAGCCTTTGGTTTTGTTTTTTTTAAGGCAGAGTTTCACTCTTGTTGCCAAGGCTGGAGTGCAATGGCGTGATCTCGGCTCACTGCAACCTCCGCCTCCTGGGTTCAAGCGATTCTCCTGCCCCAGCCTCCCGAGAATCTAGGATTACAGTCATAGCTGAGATTACAGGAACAAGACACCAGGTAATCCACCCGTTTGCATTGAGCTTTTGAGTCTTTGGAAATAAAGGTATCACGGTCTGGCTTGAGGCTTGAAATATTCCTCAGGGGGATGGGTTAAGAAACTTCAGGAGGCCAGGAATGGTGGCTCATGCCTGTAATCCCAGCACTTTGGGAGGTTGAGGCAGGTGGATCACTTGAGGTCAGGAGTTTGAGACCAGTCTGGCTAACATGGTGAAACCTGGTCTCTACTAAAAATACAAAAATTAGCTGGGTATGGTGGTGCACGCCTGTAATCCCAACTACTCAGCTCAATCAGGAGAATCGCTTGAACCTTGGAGGCTGAGGTTGCAGTGAGCCAAGATCGCACCACTGCACTCCAGCCTGGGTGACAAAGCGAGACTCTGTCTGAAAAAAGAAAAAAAGTACCCTGTGTTCTAGTGTTTTTTTTCTTTACTCTACAGCAAAGCTAAGTAGTAATGACGTGCAGATTCTCTTTGCATTAGGATTGCAGATTCTAGTTGGAAAATAGGTTGCATCCAAGAGATGCAACTGACAAACTTTGGGGAGAGAAGTGATGAAGAGCTCGCCATTCCATTTGTGGAGACTTTGCATTTTCTGGGGGTGGTATCCCACCTATGGTTCCCTGGGTTTATGAGGTGGGGCAGGCTCACTGCTTCCTGATTACTGGATCCCAGCAGAAGCAGCATGCTGCTGAAGTCCAGGTCACTGGGGGCCATTGTTATATATATTTCACTTCTCCAGGCCCTCTACCTGACTTTAGAAGTGCCCACCCACATATATTCAGTTTCTGGAGGGGTTTGATCTTAAAACTGGATCCGAAGTGATACAGTCTGAGATATTGAAAACATAGAAATTGGCCGGGCGTGGTGGCTCACGCCTGTAATCCCAGCACTTTGGAAGGCCAAGGCGGGCAGATCATGAGGTCAGGAGATCGAGACCATCCTGGCTAACACTGTGAAACCCATCTCTACTAAAAATACAAAAAAAATTAGCCAGGCACGGTGGCGGGCATCTGTAGTCCCAGCTACTCAGGAGGCTGAGGCAGGAGAATAGCGAGAACCCGGGAGGAAGAGGTTGCAGTAAGCCGAGATCGCGCCACTGCACTCCAGCCTGGGCAACTAGAACGAGGCTCCGTCTCAAAAAAAAAAAAAAAAAAAGAAAACATAGAAATTAAGGATTTCCAGATTTCCAAACACTTTAAAAATGAGGCCAGGCATGATGGCTCATGCCTGTAATCCTAGCACATTGGGAGGCCGAGGTGGGAGGATTCCTTGAGCACCAGAATTCAAAACCAGCCCGGGAAAGATGACAAGACCTCATCTCTACAGAAAACAGTTACCTGGCCATGGTAATACATGCCTGTAGAGCCAGCTACTCAGGAGGCTGAGGTGGGAGAACCGATCAAGCCTGGAAGACCGAAGCCGCAGTGAGCCGTAATCACCCCACTGCACTCCAGGCTGGGGGACAGAGCAAGACCCTGTCTCAAAAAAAGAAAGAAAGAAGAAAAAGAAAATCGCCTACCGTAGGTGTTTTAGGTTACAGTTTGGATTCTCTAATGCCTGACAGAGAATCCACAATCCACGAGCTATCTGGTTGATACTCAAGTCCAGGTTTGTGAGGCTGCAGGCTTCTTGGAGCGCCTCTGAGAGATATCTACAGCCAAGCTTGGTTATGCTGCATTGCTGTAACCTACAGGATAATCAAAGGAAGAGAAGCCTGTTATCCCTCTGGCTAACGCCCTGTGAAGCAGTTATTTCCAACACTATATACCTTCCACTTATATACTGGAATGCAGTGCTGCACTCTTGGCTCACTGCAACCTCTGCCTCCCAGGTTCAAGCGATTCTTCTGCCTCAGCCTCCCAAGTAGCTGGGATTATAGGTGCCCGCCACCTATATAACCAGACTTGGTGGTGCACGCCTGTAGTGCCAGCTACTCAGAAGACTGAGGCAGGAGAATCGCTTGAATCCGGGAGGCAGAGGCTGCAGTGAGCTGAGATCGCGCCACTGCACTCCAGCCCGGGCGACAGAGCGAGACTCCGTCTCAAGAAAACAACAACAACAACAAAAAGTATTTATATAAAACATAGGTGGCAGGTAGGAATTGACCCATGAACTGGAGCTATATACTTCCAGGTGGGCTTGCACATAAAAGCATGCAAATGGGCCGGGCACAGTGGCTCACGCCTATAATCACAGCAGTGGGAGGCCAAGACGGGCAGATCATTTGAGGTCAGGAGTTCAAGACCAGCCTGGCCAACATGGTGAAACCCCATCTCTACTAAAAAATACAAAAATCGGGCCGGGCGCGGTGGCTCAAACCTGTAATCTCAGCACTTTGGGAGACCAAGGTGGGTGAATCACAAGATCAGGAGTTCAAGACCAGCCTGGCCAAAGTGGTGAAACCCCATCTTTACTAAATACAAAAATTAGCTGGGCACGATGGCTCACACCTGTAATCTCAGCACTTTGGGAGGCTGAGGCAGACAGATCACCTGAGGTCGGGAGTTCAAGACCAGCCTAAGCAATATGGAGAAACCCGTCTCTACTAAAAATACAAAATTAGCCAGGTGTGGTGGCACATGCCTGTAATCCCAGCTACTCAGGAGGCTGAGGCAGGAGAATCTCTTGAACTGGGGAGACGGAGGTTGTGGTGAGCAGAGATTGCACCATTGCACTCCAGCCTGGGCAAGAGCGAAACTCCATCTCAAAAAAAAAAAAAAATTAGCCAGGTGTGGCGGCCCATGCCTGTAATCCTAGCTACTCAGGAGGCTGAGGTAGGAGAATTACTTGAACCCAGGAAGCGGAGGTTGCAGTGAGCCAAGATCGCACCACTGCACTCCAGCCTGGTGACAGAGAGAGACTGTTAAAAAAAAAAAAAAAACATCCAAATGGCCTTCTGATTCCATCCATTTCCAGCTCTGCCTGGGACAACAGCTTAGGCTCTGGGTTCAGACCGACCCAGGACAGGATCTGAGCCCTGGGTCACTTATTTTCTGCGTGGTTAGATTATGGAAATTTCACTTTCCCTGTCATTTTATTTCATGTTTAAGTTTTGTCTTTAACTGACACATTCTACATATATAGGGGTATAGTGTGATGTTTTGGTGCAGGTACACTTCGTATAACGATCAGGTAGGTGACTGTTTGTTTAACAATAGTTATTCTAAGCCAGGCACAGTGGCTCATGCCTGGAACGCCAGCACTTTGGGAGGCCGAGGCAGGCAGATCACTTAAGGCCAGGAGTTCAAGACCAGCCTGGCCAACATGGTGAAACCTCATCTCCACTAAAAGTGCAAAAATTAGCCAGGCATGGTGGAGGGCACCTGTAATCCCAGCTACTTGGGAGGCTGAGGCAGGAGAATCGCTTGAACCTGGGAGGCAGAAGTTGCAGTCAGCCAAGATTACACCACTGCATTCCAGTCTGGGCGACAGAGTGAGACTTCATCCAAAAAAAAAAAAATGAATCTCAGAAATGACCACTAGCTAGAATTTCTGAACAGGAACAGGTCTTCAACCCTATGCAATCTCTTGAATATTTTTCTAACCATAATTTTAATGTGAACAGGTAGCTCACGCTGGGCTTCTTTCCATATAACAAGATTCAGCCAACTATAGTTCGTGGGTCAATTCCAACCTGCCACCTATGTCTTTTACAAATAAGGATTTTTGTTGAGTTTTTTTTTGTTTTTTTCTTGAGACGGAGTCTCACTCTGTCGCCCGGGCTGGAGTGCAGTGGCGCCATCTCAGCTCACTGCAGCCTCTGCCTCCCAGATTCAAGCGATTCTCCTACCTCAGCCTTCTGAGTAGCTGGTACTATAGGCACGCACCACCAAGCCTGGTTAATTTTTGTATTTTTTAGTAGCGATGGGTTTTCACCATGTTGGCCAGGCTGGTCTCGAACCTTAGGTGATCTGCCCACCATTCACCACCTGTTCCCCAATAACCTATGGAAATAAAAGTTTAAAAAAAGGTGCCACTGGCCCTACCACATAACTCAATCTACCTCCAATAGCAGGCAGTACTATGTCATAGGAATTTGAAAGAACACACACAAAGCATCAGATCCGAGAACCAACTACTCATCTCAAATCTTCCTTCATAGCAGGAAGAGGCTCTGCTGACATGCAAATATTAACATGTTTCTACCTGTATCTGCCTGGTTTTTTTTGTTTCTTTGTTTTTTTGAGAAGGAGTCTTGTTCTGTCGCCCAGGCTGGAGTGCAGTGGTGCGATCTCGGCTCACTGCAACCTCCGCCTTCCAGGTTCACGCCATTCTCCTGTCTCATCCTCCCAAGTAGCTGGGACTACAGGCATCCGCCACCACACCTGGCTAATTTTTGGTATTTTTAGTACAGACAGGGTTTCACCATGTTAACCAGGATGGTCTCCATCTCCTGACCTCATGATCCACCCGCCTCGGCCTCCCAAAGTGCTGGGATTACAGGCATGAGCCACCACGCCTGGCCTCTGCCTGTTCTTTAATTCTTACCAGGTTTTTAAAAGTTACATTTGAAATGAATTAACAAGTACTTTCATGTCTCTCCTGCTTGAATTCATGTGCACACACACACACACCCAGCAGGGACTTACACCAAGGTCTGCAGTTTACAATCAGGGTAACTCAAGCCCTCACACAGAAACTTCACCCCTGTATCCCCAATGGGGTTCTTGGCCAAGCACAGGTGTGTCAGCTTCTTGCTGACAACCAAGACAGCAGCAAGGTCCTTGCAACTGGCTTCTGTAAGACGACAGTTTTCCAACCTGCAAAAATATGAAACAAATGGTAGAAGGATGAGAACATTTCCACAACTCCAACCTGCTCAGTGATGTCCACATGCTAGGGTACTCAGCTTCAGCCCTTCCTGTTCATCCCCTGCCCTCTGTCCTGTGGGAGTCATCATGGCCACAAAAGAGCAGGAAGGCGAGAAGGCCAAGATGCAGCGGTCCACCTGGAGCCATCACAGGACACAGGTGTTGTTTTTGAGACGGAGTCTCGCTCTGTCGCCCAGGCTGGAGTGCAGTGGCGCGATCTCGGTTCACTGCCAATCGCCGCCTCCCAGGTTTACACCATTCTGCTGACTCAGCCTCCTGAGTAGCTGGGACTACAGGCGCCCACCACACCTGGATAATTTTTTGTATTTTTTAGTAGAGACGGGGTTTCACCATGTTAGCCAGGATGGTCTCGATCTCTTGACCTCGTGATCTCCCCGCCTTGGCCTCCCAACGTGCTGGGATTACAGGCATGAGCCACCGCACCCGGCCTGTTTTTGGTATTTTTAATAGAAACAGGGTTTCACCATGTTGGCCAGGTTGGTCTCGAACTCCTGAACTCAGATGATCCGCCCACCTCTCTGCTGAGATTACAGGCAGGAGCCACCGTGCCGGGCCTGAAGCAGGTGTTTATTTCAGCAAGAGGCGCCACGTGGGTGCGCGCAGTAAGTCAGGTGTTACCCTTTCTCTTCTATAGCCCCAGAACTAAACCAGAGCTGCCCATGGGAAGAGGAGACTTACGACAACATCTGCAGGAAGTGTTTTGGGCGTGTCATGGTCTTGTACAGCAACATGGCACCCTCATCCAGGAGCACATTGGCTGAGAGACGCAGGTGCTTCAGGGACTGGTTGGCTTTGAGGACATAGAAGAATTCAGCCCACTGCTCCGGGGTGGCACAGTGACCTCCCAACCTGTGAAAAGAGTGGGAAAAGTCATTCTTCTGGGAGGACAGAGTATACCCTATCAGCTTTTTTTTTTTGAGACAGAGTTTCACTCTGTTGCCCAGTCTGGAATGCAAAGGCGTGATCTCACCTCACTGCAGCCTCCGCCTCCCGGGTTCAAGCTATTCTCCTGCCTCAGCCTCCGAAGTAGCTGGGATTACAGGCATTCGCCAATTTTTGTATTTTTAGTAGAGACGGGATTTCACCATGTTGGCCACACTGGTCTTGAACTCCTGACCTCAGGTGATCCACCCACCTTGGCCTACCGAAGTACTGGGATTACAGGTGTGAGCCACCGCGCCTGGCCCAGATCAGCTTCTTCTGCTTCACTTCCCAAGACATTATGTCTTTGGTTTATCTCATTCTACTCATGCCTCCAACCCTGGCCTGAATTACTGGAGAGATCTAATGTTGCCTCTGCTTCTTCAAGTATCCCCATGGCCATTAGGGTAACATCCAGCCACTTCTCCAAGAGATTGTAATACAATTCTGTGCAATGTTTCACCAAAACGGCCTGTGTGGATGATTTTGCAGGGGGAAAAAAAATTTTTTTTTTGAGACAGGATCTCGCTCTGTTGCCCAGGCTGGAGTGCAGTGGCATGATCACAGGTCACCACAACCTGTCTCCTGGGCTCAAATGATCCTCCCACCTCAGCATCCACTGTAGCTGGGACTAGAAGGGGCAAATTGATGCTTAATACTCAAAATAAAAATTTTATCCTGGCCAGGCGCAGTGGTTCATGCCTGTAATCCTAGCACTTTGGGAGGCCGAGACAGGCGGATCACTTGAGGTCAGGAGTTCGAGACCAGCCTGGCCAACATGGTGAAACCCTGTCTCTATTAAAAATACAAACATTTGCCAGGCGTGGTGGTGCACGCCTGTAACCCCAGCTACTCGGGAAGCTGAGGCAGGAGAACTGCTTGAACCCAGGAGGCGGAGGTTGCAGTGAACGAGATCGCGCCACTGCGCTCCAGCCTGGGTGACAAGAATAAAACTGTCTCAAAGAAAAAAAAAAAAAAAAAAGATTCTCATTGAGTGCAGAGAAGGTTGCATGCTCCTTATGAATACCTAACTCCTGATGATCTGAGATTGATGATCCATTCTCCTCAGGCTCCCAAAGTGCGAGGATCATGCACTCCATAGGATCAGGCACCAACGATTAGCTCCTGTGCCTGATCTGAGATCGAACAGTTTCATCCCAAAACTACCCCCAAACCCGTCTGTGGAAAAAACTGTCTTGTGCAAAACCGGCCCGCGGTGCAGAAAAGGCTGGGGGCCACTGCTCTCAATCCCAACAATTAGGCAAGGTGCAGTCAGGAATAGCATGTCCCTAAAGCTGGAACCCAGCACAGAATTCGGGGTGTTTCTTTGCATGGATAGCTGGTTATGCAACACAGAAGACAAGCTGGTGGGGGAAAGAGGAGAGGCCGACTCCCCCACACAGGCCTGTTTGAGGAATACATTCCCTGTCTGGGACGGCATCTGGAGTGGTTACCCTTTTTCCTAGATCCCCCGGCAACACGGTGCAGTGGACTCCAGGTGCTGGGGAGAGCCGTGACCGTGAGACCCACCTCAGGTACTGCAGGTTGCATTTATGATTTCTGAGCAGGTCACACAGCATCAGCATCATCGTGCGTTCCCACTCGATGTGCCCTGCCAGGGTCAGGTGCGTGAGGGTCTTCTTCCCAATGAAAGCAAGACAGAAGTCCCGGTACGCGGTGTCAGGGGTGACGTTTTTAATCCTAGGGAAAAGCAGAAGAGATTCCACTTGGAGTGATTAATACTCACATTGTGTGGAGGCATGTATAAACAAAAAGCTGTTTCACATTTAGAAATTATTAGAAGTTCTTGGCCGGGTGCAGTGGCTCGTGTCTGTAACCCCAGCACTTTGGGAGGCTGAGGCAGGAGGATAACCTGAGGTCAGGAGTCTGAGACCAACCTGGGCAACATGGTGAAACTCCATCTCTACAAAAAATAAATTAGCTGGGGCCGAGGCAGGCAGATCGCCTGAGGTCAGGAGTTCGAGACCAGCCTGGCCAACATGGGGAAGCCCCGTCTCTACTAAAAATACAAAAATTAGCTGCACATGGAGGGGCATGCTTGTAGTCCCAGGTATTCGGGAGGCTGAGGTAGGAGAATCACTTGAATCCAGGAGGCAGAGGTTGCAGTGAGCCGAGACCGCACCACTGCACTCCAGCCTGGGCAACAGAGCAAGACTCCATCTCAAAAGAAAAAAAAATTCGCCGGGTGTGGTGGCTCACGCCTGTAATCCCAGCACTTTGGGAGGCCGAGGCCGAGGCGGGTGGATCACGAGGTCAGGAGATCAAGACCATCCTGGCTAACACGGTGAAACCCCGTCTTTACTAAAATTACAAAAAACTAGCCGGGCGTGGTGGCGGGCGCCTGTAGTCCCAGCTA
The DNA here is from genome assembly GCF_000001405.40 of Homo sapiens. Taxonomy (NCBI): domain Eukaryota; kingdom Metazoa; phylum Chordata; class Mammalia; order Primates; family Hominidae; genus Homo; species Homo sapiens. The sequence continues at coordinate 841,460 of NW_003571060.1, forward strand.
CTCGGGAGGCTGAGGCAGGAGAATGGCATGAACCCGGGAGGCAGGGCTTGCAGTGAGCCGAGATTGCTGCACTGCACTCCAGCCTGGGGAACATAGCGAGACTGTCTCAAAAAAAAAAAAAAAAGTCAAGAAGCAGAGGATCAGGAAAAACAACTAAGGGGTACTAGGCTTAATACTTGGGTGACAAAATAATCTGTACAACAAACTCCTATGACACACGGTTACCTGTGTAACTAACCTGTACTTGTACCTACTTTTTGGTTTGTTTTGGTAACAAAACAAACCAAAAAAAAGATAGCTGGGGCCAGGCATGGTGGCTCATGCCTGTAATCCCAGCACTTTCGAAGACCGAGGCAGGCGCATCACCTTAGGTCAGGAGTTCGAGACAAGCCTGGCCAAGATGGAGAAAATTCCACCTCTACTAAAAACACAAGATTAAGTCATTGCACTCCAGCGCCTAGGTGACAGAGTGAAACTCTGTCTCAAAAAAAATAAAAAATAAAAAAGGGGCCAGGTGCAGCGGCTCATGCCTATAATCCCAGCACTTTGGAAGGCCGAGGCAGGCAAATCACCTGAGGTCAGGAGCTCGAGATCAGCCTGGGCAACACGGTGAAAACCTGTCTCTGCTAAAAGTACAAAATTAGCCGGGCAAGGTGGCACATGCCTGTAATCCCAGCTACTCGGGAGGCTGAGGCAGGAGAATTGCTTGAACCTGGGAGGTGGAGGATGCAGTGAGCTGAGATCGCGCCATTGCACTCCAGCCTGGGCAACAAGAGTAAATCTCCGTCTCACCAAAAAAAAAAAAAAAAAAAAAGACAGCTGGAAAATCCCCAAATACATGGAGATGAAACAGCACATTTCCAAATTTAAAAAACAAAAGTACAAGAAGCTTAGTCATCGTTCAGGGTCTTCCTTGCAAGATGAGCTTCTACTTACTCCACTTTCTGCAGATGACAGGTGCTACGGGTTACGTGGTCACAAAGAATCCGCACAGAAGAGTCACTCAGGAAGCTTTGTTTCACTTCCAGAAACTTGAGGTTGCTGTTTGAGCTGAAGAGAGAGCAGAAATCTGTCCAGAGGCGAAGAGAGCGAAGATCCTGCCGAGCCCAGTTCGGAATGGTTAGGTAAGTGCACCTGCAGGAGAACACACGTTCATCTCTTAGGACTAGTACCTGCATGGTGAGATGGGCATCTGCAAACCACATTTCAATGGCAAAAACCACAATTACTTTTGCACCAACCTAAAACAGTGTCTATAGTAAACAATATTGCATCACATACTTTGCTACCAGTATAGATCTTAAGTTTTACAAAAAAAATAAAATAATAGATAAGGCTGAGTGAGGTGGCTCATGCCTGTAATCCCAACACTTTGCTAGGCCAAAGTGGGAAGATCACTTGAGCCCAGGAGTTTAAGACCAACTTGGGCTAGAAACTGAGACCCCCATCTCTACAAAAAAATAAAATAATTAACCGGGCAAGGTGGTGCACGCCCATAGTCCCAGCTACTCGGGAGGCTGAGGCAGGAGAATCACTTGAACCCGGGAGGCGGAGGTTGCAGTGAGCCAAGATCGCGCCACTGCACTCCAGCCTGGGGGACAGAGCGAGACTCCGTCTCAAAAATAAAAAGCCCCAATTCCTAATTGCCAAGTCGTGTCTCCACGTTGAACATGAAGCTGGAAAGAAGTCCAGCCAGAGGGAAATTCTGACAGTAAGCGACAGGGCAAAGGAGACGCTGGCCTCTTCCTAGTGGAGCGTGGGATGGGAAAACAGTTCTTACCTTTCAAATTCAATGTCCAGTTCAAAATCCATGTAATTCTCCAGGAACACCCCCTTTGCTACCTGCAGTGAGAGTTTCTGCAAGTCTTGACAATGCTTCAGGCTGAAGGAACAATGCATCACTTCAGAAGTATTTGTCAGGTGAATAGAAATTTCCTTGAACGGGGCCACCACCACCTTCGCCAGCTCCTCCTCCTGAGACTCATACAGGCAGCCCAAGACCTCCTTCAGGTCGGTCACGGATAAGGGCTTATTTGCATGAAGATGTGCTTTGCATTGCAGCAATTCCTGTTTGATGTCCGGTGACATCCGGCAGCCAAAAGTGGCCTCCAACTCCTTGGCTCTCTTCTCGTTAGCGAGGCCGAATAAGAAGTGTCCTACTTGAATCAGGTCGGGGTTCTTGAGTCTTTCTTCTCCGGAAAGCAGCTTCTGTACGTCCCCGATGTCCCAGGCGTGGCCGTCCCTGTCCTCCCCCTCCTCCTTCTCCAGGGTGTAGAACAGGGCAGTGAGAAACTGCTGGAAGCTGAGGTGGATGAAGGAGTAGCAGCCTTTGGAGACTCTGTCCTGGCGGAGGATGTCTCCGTCCAGGAACAGACGGAGGTCGGACTCCTGCACCCCGAGCCTTTCCAGGTCCTCTCGGTGGAACACGGACATCTGCGCCCACAGGCCCTGCGCGGCCAGGAGGCTCAGCGTCCGCAGCGCGCCCCGCAGCTGTGCGCCCTGCGGGAACCGGCTGCAGAGGAAACGCAGGAACAGCCCCGTGCGGGTGAGGCAGGTGGGGACCGGGTCCTCCCCCTTCTCCATCTGCAGCTTCAGAGTCGTGCACACAATCCAGCACACCGCGGGGGCCGAGCCCAGCTGGAACAGGGCCGCGTTGCTCCTCATTAGCTCAAAGGCACGCATGGCTTGGTCCTCGTCTCCAAAGTGTCTCAGGAAATAGGCCCTCCTGTCCTCCTCCAGGAAGCCCTCCACCCTTACGTAGATCGGCTGCTGCGCCAGGAGCTGGAGGTCCCTCAGTGCCCTGGGCCGCGTGGTGACCAGCAAGGCTGCCCTGGGTAACATCTTCCTCTTCAGCAAACTCCCCAGGAGGACGGGCACCGGCTTCTTCTTCTCCCAGTCCCCGCAGATGTCCTGGATCAGCGCCCCAGGTGGGACTTTCAGCTCATCAAGGCCATCGACCACGAACAGGATTCTCTGTGCTTGGGCTAGGATGCTTGGAATGTCATCCTGCAATTCAGGCCAGTCTTTGGAGATCAGCTCTGCAAAACTGCAGGGGCCCATGCGGCTGAGCTCCTTGCAGCTGAGGTAGAACGCGTATCTGAGCGTCGGGCTGAGGTTGCAGTCTGTCCAGTCCAGCATACACTTTTTGGCCAGCGTGGTTTTCCCCACGCCTGCGGGGCCGTGCAGCACCACCGTGTAAGGTGTTAGCTTCCTGGGTGTTCTGGGATTCAAGAATGGAATGAACCGTTGGTTTCTCAGAGTGACGTCGTCATGGAAATTGTCAATGTCTCCTTGCCAAAAGGTGTTCTTCCAGACCAAAGATTGTTTCTCCATTGAATTTCTCCATCCTTCCTTTTCACCTGCAGTGACAGCCCATAGGACAGTTGAGGTTGATGATGATGATTTTCTGAATTACTTTGTCAAGTACCAGAAATGAGGGCCAGGCACGGTGTCTCATGCTTGTAATCCCGGCACTTTGGGAGGCCAAGGTGGGTGGATCACTTGAGGTCAGGAGTTCAAGACCAGCCTGGCCAAGATAGTGAAACCCCATCTCTACTAAAAATACAAAACATTAGCTGGGGGTAGTGGCGGCCGCCTGTAATCCCGGCTACTCAGGAGGCTGAGGCAGAGAATTGCTTGAACCCGGGAGGCAGAGGTTGCAATGAGCAGAGACGGAGCCACTACACTCCAGCCCGGGCTACAGAGCAAGATTCCGTCTCAAAAAAAAAAAAACTACCAGAAATGAATAAAACCAGGAAGAAGTGATGCACCTTGCATGCTCTCAAACACCAAACTCATGACCATAGGACCGTATTTACCCACCTGGCTTTGCTAACTCCGAGTCTTCTTCTGCATCTCCCAGCTCAGGATTATCTATTTCTTGCACCTGTCCGTCCTCTGTAAAATACTTAGATGTAAGCCTGACACAGTAATTTACACTTCGTAAATCAGACATTATTGTACATAAAGTGTCAGCCAGGCATGGTGGCTCATGCCTGTAATCACAGCACTTTGGAAGGCTGAGGTGGGCGGATCACAAGGTCAGGAGATCAAGACCAGCCTGGCCAACATGGCAAAACCCCATCTCTACTAAAAATACAAAAAAAAAAAATTAGCCAGGTGTGGTGAAACACGCCTGTAATCCCAGCTACTCCGGAGGCTGAGATAGGAGAATCACTTGAACCCAGAGGCGGAGGTTGCAGTGAGCCCAGATCTCGCCACTGCACTCCAGCCTTACACTCCAGCCTGGGCGACAGAACGAGACTCCATCTCAAAAAAAAAAAAAAAAAAAAAAAAAAATGACCAGGACACCCCAGGTTCTACTTACCCATCATCTCAGCCTTTGCCATCTTACACAATTCCGTGAGATTCATCTCTTCCAAGATGTTCACAGTCGCATTCCTTATCCAATTTTCTGAGGAGGTGTTGACCAGAATTTCTGCCAGTTTCTTGCCATCAGCCTCTTCCACCTCAGACCATGGGGTCTTCTGTAGCACGTCTTCGAGGGGAAAAGCCCATAAAAGGGATTTGAAACTCTTTAATTCATCCTCGTTCAGCTGCTCCAGAAGGGTCTGCAGAGTCCACTCTAGCTGGGGCGATGTCATAGTGCTCCGAGTATGAGACCTTAGGTTAAGGCTGAAGAACTGGGGGGAAAAAAGAAAAAACAGTTCACGAGTTACCATCATTAAATGAAACCACAGTTTCCTGTGTGCCAAGAACAAGACTGTTCCTGCTGTACAGTGAGTGGTAAAATATTCCAAAGACTGAATTAAGAGACTGAAAATCTGGCCCAGCACGGTGGCTCACGCCTGCGGCCAGGAGTTCGAGACCAGCCTGGCTAACTTGGTAAAAAGAACGAACAAAAGGCTGGGCACGGTGGCTCACGCCTGTAATCCCAGCACTTTGGGAGGCCGAGGCGGATGGATCACGATATCAGGAGATCGAGACCATCCTGGCTAACACAGTGAAACCCCTGCCTCTACTAAAAAAATACAAAAAATTAGCAGGGCGTGGTGGCGGGCACCTGTAGTCCCAGCTACTCGGGAGGCTGAGGCAGGAGAATGGTGTGAACCCGGGAAGTGGAGCTTGCAGTGAGCAGAGATCTCACCATTGCACTCCAGCCTGGGCGACAGAGCGAGACTCCGTCTCAAAAAAAAAAAAAAAAAAAAAGAATACAAAGAATGAAGGGTCAGTGGTATGCTAGGGCCAGCCCGTGCTGCCTAATGGGGGCTTCCTATATGTACCTATACCAACGTCCATGGGCTGTGATTTCACACTGATAGTACAAAATCACAAGGGGAGTGTTTATGCCACAGAAATCAGCAAACACGGCAGGGCGCGGTGGCTCACGCCTGTAATCCCAGCACTTTGGGAGGCCAAGGCGGGTGGATAACCTGAGGTCGGGAGCTCAAGACCAGCCTGACCAACACGGCGAAACCCCATCTCTACTAAAAATACAGAAATTAGCCAGGCGTGGTGGCGGGTGCCTGTAATCCCAGCTACTCAGGAGGCCGAGACAGGAGAATCACACTTGAACCTGGGAGGTGGAGGTTGCATGATCTGAGATCACGCCATTGCACTCGAGCCTCGGCAACAAGAACAAGACTCTGTCTCAAACAAACAAAAAAACAAATCAGCAAACACTACAAACCAAGACTTCCTCGCCACCAACCCTCAGAGCCACTTGTTTAACATTTCAGCCCACCACTGAATGACACATTGAAAACAAATAGCAAGAGGACAGATATAAATATAACTGTACTGGCCGGGTATGGTGGCTCAGGCCTGGAATCCCAGCACTTTGGGAGGCTGAGGCAGGTGGATCGCCTGATGTCAGGAGTTTGAGACCCGCCTGGCCCACATGGTGAAACCCCATCTCTACTAAAAATACAAAAGCTAGCCAAGTGTAGTGGTAGGAACCTGTAATCCCAGGTACGTGGGAGGCTGAGGCAGGAGAATCGCTTGAACCCAGGAGGCGGAGGTTGCAGTGAGCTGAGATAGCGCCATTGTACTCCAGCCTGGGCAACAAGAGCGAAACTCTATCTCAAAAAAAAAAAACTTAGCCAGGCCTGGTGGAACATACCCGTAGTCCCAGATACTTGGGAGGCTGACACAGGAGGATTGTTTGAGCCTACGATTTGGAGGTTGCAGTGAGCCAGCCACTGCACGCCAGCCTGGGTGACAGAGTGAGGCCCTGTCTCAAAAGTAAGTAACTAATGGCCGGGTGCAGTGGCTCACGCCTGTAATCCCAGCACTTTGGGAGGCCGAGGCAGGCGGATCACGAGGTCAGGAGATCGAGACCATCCTGGCTAACACGGTGAAACCCCGTCTCTACTAAAAATACAAACAATTAGCCGGGCGTGGTGGCGGGCGCCTGTAGTCCCAGCTACTCGGGAGGCTGAGGCAGGAGAATGGCGGGAACCCGGGAGGCGGAGCTTGCAGTGAGCGGAGATCGCGCCACCGCACTCCAGCCTGGGCGACAGAGCGAGACTCCGTCTGGGTTGGGGGGGCGGGGGGAAGAGGCAGCCTGGAAAATAAATAACAGAAAAAGTGACTTGCCAAGCCCGGGTGCTGATAGAGGTGGACAGCTTTACCCTTGGAGGGAACAGCAAATCTTTTTCCCCAGCTGTGACGTGTGGGGAAAAGGAGGACAGATCAGACTGTTACTGTGTCTATGTAGAAAGAAATAGACATAAGAGACTCCATTTTGTTCTGTACTAAGAAAAATTCTTCTGCCTTGAGATGCTGTTAACCTGTAACCCTAGCCCCAACCCTGTGCTCCCAGAAACATGTGCTGTGTCACACGTGGGTTTAGGGCTATGCAGGATGTGCTTTGTTAAACAGATGCTTGAAGGCAGCATGCTTGTTAAAAGTCATCACCACTCTCTAATCTCAAGCACCCAGGGACACAATACACTGCAGAAGGCTGCAGGGACCTCTGCCTAGAAAAGCCAGGTATTGTCCAAAGTTTCTCCCCATGTGATAGCCTGAGATAAGGCCTCGTGGGAAGGGAAAGACCAGACCGTACCCCAGCCCGACACCCGTAAAGGGTCTGTGCTGAAGAGGATTAGTATAAGAGGAAGGCCTTTTTGCAGTTAAGAGGAAGGCATCTGTCTCCTGCTCGTCCCTGGGCAATGGAATGTCTCGGTGTAAAACCCGATGGTATGTTCCATCCACCGAGATAGGGGAAAACCGCCTTAGGGCTGGAGGTGACACATGCTGGCAGCAATACTGCTCTTTAATGCACCAGATATGTTTATGTATGAGCACATCAAGGCACAGCACATTTCCTAACCTTGTTTATGACACAGACATTTGCTCACATGTTTTCCTGCTGACCCTCTCCCCACTGTTACCCTATTGTCCTGCCACATCCCCGTCTCCGAGATGGTAGAGATAATGACCAATAAATACTGAAGGAACTCAGAGACCCGGCCGGCGCAGGTCTCCTGAGCCCACTTTTCTTTCTGTGTACTTTGTCTCTGTGTCTCTTTCTTTTCTCAGTCTCTCGTCCCACCTGACAAGAAACACCCACAGGTGTGGAGGGGCAGGCCACCCCTTCAGTGAGGTATAATTACATATATCCTATTTTAGGATGGAGCAGGAAGAGCATGAGAGCCCAGGAGTTCCAGACCAGCCTGGGCGACACAAGGAGACCTTGTCTCTATTTTTTAAGTATTTTTAAAGTAATATATACAACGTTTACTTGTCAAAGTGTACAGCATGGAGCGATGTTATATATACAGTGAAATGATTACCACAATCCAGCTAATTAACATATCCACTGCTTCATATAGTTGCCTTTCGTTTTTGCAGTGACAACGCTTGATGTACTTAGAAAAATTCAGGGTTTTTTGGCCAGGCACGGTGGCTCACGCCTGTAATCCCAGCACTATGGGAGGCCGAGGCGGGCAGATCACAAGGTGAGGAGCTCAAGACCATCCTGGCTAACACGGTGAAACCCCGTCTCTACTAAAAATACAAAAAAAAAATTAGCCGGGCATGGTGGCGGGCGCCTGTAGTCCCAGCTACTTGGGAGGCTGAGGCAGGAGAATGGCTTGAACCTGGGAGGCGGAGCTTGCAGTGAGCCAAGATCGCGCCACTGCACTCCAGCCTGGGCGAGTGAGACTCCCTCTCAAAAAAAAAAAAAAAAAGAAAAGAAAAGAAAAATTCAGGGTTTTTTTTTTCTTTTTCAGAAAGTCTTGCTCTGTCGCCCAGGCTGGAGTGCAATGGTGCGAGGCTTACCACAACCTCCTCTTCCCGGGTTCAAGCGATTCTCCTGCCTCGGCCTCCCAAGTAGCTGGGATTACAGGTATGCCCCACCACACCTAATTTTTTTTGTATTTTTAGTACAAACGGGGTTTCACCATGTTGGCCAGGCTGGTCTTGAACTCCTGACCTCAGGTGATCTGCCCACCTCAGCCTCCCAAAGTGCTGGGATTACAGGTATGAGCCACCAGGCCTGGCCAAGTATTTTTTTTCCCAAGTACATTTTTTTCTTTTTTTCTTTTTTTTGAGATGGAGTCTCCCTCTGTTGCCCAGGCTGGAGTGCAGTGGCACAATCTCGACTCACTGCAACCTCCACCTCCCAGGTTCAAGTGATTCTAGTGCCTCAGCCTCTCAAGAAGCTGGGATTACAGGCGCACCGCATCACGCCGGGCTAGTTTTTGTATTTTTAGTAGAGACAGGGTTTCTTGTTTTTTTCTGAGATGGAGTCTTGCTCTGTCACCCAGGCTGGAGTGCAGTGGCGCGATCTGGGCTCACTGCAAGCTCCGCCTCCCAGGTTCACGCCATTCTCCTGCCTCAGCCTCCCAAGTAGCTGGGACTACAGGCGCCCGCCACTATGCCCAGCTAATTTTTTTTGTATTTTTAGTAGAGATGGGGTTTCACCGTGTTAGCCAGGATGGTCTCGATCTTCTGACCTCGTGATCCGCCCGCCTCGGCCTCCCATAGTGCTGGGATTACAGGCGTGAGCCACCGCGCCCGGCCGAGACAGGGTTTCTCTATGTTGGCCAGGCTGGCCTCGAACTCCTGACCTCAGCTGATCCACCCGCCTCGGCCTCCCAAAGTGCTGGGATCACAGGCGTGAGCCACCGCATCTGGCCATTTACATTTTTTTTTTTTTTTGATGCAGCATTTCACTCTGGTTGCCCAGGCTGGAGTGCAGTGGCGCAATCTCAGCTCACCGCAACCTCCGCCTCCCGGGTTCAAGTGATTCTCCTGCCTCAGCCTCCCGAGTAGCTGGGATTACAGGCATGTGCCACCACGCCCAGCTAATTTTGTATTTTTAGTAGAGATGGGGTTTCTCCATGTTGGTCAGGCTGGTCTCAAACTCCCGGCCTCAGGTGATCTGAAAGTGCTGGGATTACAGGCGTGAGCCACCGCGCCCAGCCTACTTTTTTTTTTTTTTAAACAGGGTCTTCATCTCATCCAGGCTGGAGTGCAGTGGCTCAATCACACCTCATTGCAGCCCCCACCTCCTGGCTCAGGTGATCCTCCCACCTCACCCCACAAGTAGCTTGGACACAGCACAAGGTCTGGCCTTCTTTGTTTTTTGAGACGGAGTCGCACTCTGTCTCCCAGGCTGGAGTGCAGTGGCGCGATCTCAGCTCATTGCAACCTCCCCCTCCTAGGTTTAAGCTATTCTCCTGCCTCAACCTTCCAAGTAACTGGGATTACAGGCATGCACCACCACACCTGGCTAATTTTTGTGTTTTTAGTAGAGACAGGGTTTCACCATTTTGGGCAGGCTGGTCTCAAACTTCTGGCCTCAAGTGATCCACCCGCCTCGGCCTCCCAAAGTGTTGGGATAACAGGCATGAACCACTGTGCCTGGCCTTATATTTTTTTGTAATGACAGAGTTTTACCATGTTGCCCAGGCTAGTCTCAATCTCCTGAACTCCTCTAAACTATATTTGAATAGAAGTCCTTAAGACATTAGGCCAGGCGTGGTGGCTCACACCTGGAATCCCAGCACTTTGGGAGGCCGAGGCAGACAGATTACCTAAAGTCAGGAGTTCAAGACCAGCCTGGCCAACATGGTGAGACCCCGTCTCTACTAAAAATACAAAAATTAGCTGGGCATGGTGGCACGTGCCTGTAGTCCCAGCTACTCAGGAGGCTGAGGCAGGAGAATGGCGGGTGAACCCAGGAGGCGGAGTTTGCAGCGAACCAAGATCACGCCACTGCACTCCAGCCTGGGCGACAGAGGGAGACTCCGTCTCAAAAAAAAAAAAAATCAAAGATCCTTCCAGCATCCTCGCACCAACCATTAAGGCTTGGGAAGGGCTATGGTGGAAACTCAACCAATAGCTTCTTCTCCCTTAAACGAAAAGACAAAGAAATCGATGCAAGAACCAGCACTCACCTCCCTCAGGTCAGGTCTTGCTTCCAGCCTGTGTTTCCTGCAAAGGAAACGGATAAAAAGGGGAGGTCTCTGGCCCTTGGTACGCTAGGTGGAGAGACAGCTTTCCCGCCCAGGGTGGAACCGCCCCACTGAGATTAACATTGGGTGGCTCCCAACCACTGACCTCAGGCTCACCTTGACATCACCTGGGCCCCATCCTCAGGGATTTGGCTGTAATTGGGCTTCAGTGGGCTTTGGAGAATTACGGCTTGCTGAATCTCCCCAGGTGAGATTAATGTGCAATTCCCTTCCTAGACCACCCGGGCCAGGTGTGATAGGCGACAGAACAGGAAATACACATTTTGGGTTTTGCAGGGTACCTGGCTCCCAGCTTTAAAAACTCTTGTAGAGAAAAAAAATTAAACAAAAATAAATAAAAATTAAAAAAAAAGAGGACAAAAACTCCCGTGACTTCCTAAGTTACAAATACAATAAGTCTACTTTGTGGCCAACTGTGGTGCCTCCTGCCTATAAATCCCAGCAGGCTGAGAGGCCTAGGCCAGTGGATCCCTAGGGGCCAGGAGTTTGATACCAGCCTAGGCAACATAGCAAGATGCCATCTCTTCAAAAATATTTAATAATTAGCCATGCATAGGCTGGGCGTGGTAGCTCATGCCTGTAGTCCCAGCAATTTGGGAAGCCGAGGCGGGTGGATCACCTGAGGTCAGGAGTTGGAGACCAGACTGGCCAACGTGGTGAAACTCTGTCTCTACTAAACATACAAAAAATTAGCCAGGTGTGGTGGCAGGTGCCTGTAATCCCAGCTACTCGGGAGGCTGAGACAGGACAATCACTTGAACTAGGGAGGTGGAGGGTGAGTGAGGCACGATCACGCCATTGCACTCCAGCCTGGGTGACAAGAGCAAGACTGTCTCAAAAACAAAAACAAAAAAATTAGCCATACATGATGGGCTGCACCTGTAATCCCAGCTATTCAGGAGGCTGAGGTGGGAGGATCACCTGAGCTCAGGAGTTTGAGGCTGCAGTGAGCTGTGACTGGCCATCTCACTCCAGCCTAGGCCACAGAGTGAGACCCAGTCTCAAAAAAATAAATAGATAACTGATATTTAATTTTTTTTTTTGGATGGAGTCTTGCTCTGTGGCCCAGGCTGGAGTGCAGTGGTGCAATCTCCATTCTTGCAACCTCTGCCTTCCAGGTTCAAGCAATTCTGATGCCTCAGCTTCCCAAGTAGCTGGGACTGCAGGCACATGCCACCATGCCCAACTAATTTTTTGTATTTTTAGTAGAGACAGGGTTTCACCATATTGGTCAGGCTGGTCTCAAACTCCTGATGTCAGGTGATTACAGGCATGAGCCACCGCACCTGGCCTAAAATTGTTTTTAAATAAAACAGTGTATGTTGTGGAAAGCATTCAGCACAGAATTTTGGTAGTTTAAACTGTTAATTTAATGGAAGCAAATGGTCCCACAAATGAAGATGTATATATCAGTTGCAGCATGCCATCTATAGAAATAGGCACTATGGAGGCCTGGCATGGTGGCTCACACCTGTAATCCCTGCACTTTGGAAGGCTGAGGCAGGTGGATCATCTGAGGTCAGCAGTTCGAGACCAACCTGGGCAACATGGCAAAAAACCCCTGGCTACTAAAAATAAAGAATTAGCCAGGCATGGTGGTGTGCACCTGTAATCCCAGCTACTCAGGAGGCTGAGGCGTAAGAATTGATTGAACCTGGGAGTTGGAGGTTGCCGTGAGCCGAGATTGCACCACTGCGCTCCAGCCTGGGCGACAGAGACTCCATCTTTAAAAAAAAAAAAAAAAGATGGCCAGGCGCAGTGGTTCATGAATGTAATCCCAGCACTTTGGGAGGCTGAGGCGGGAGGACTGCCTGAGTCCAGGAGTTCAAGACCAGCCTGGGCAATATGGCGAGACTCCCTCTCTGAAGAAAAAGAAAATAAAAACAATAAAAATAAATTATATTCTAGCTGACAAAAAGAGAGAGAGAGTATATTTTGTTAAAACATTTGGCCTTTAGTCCTAGAGCAGCTATGGAGAGATAAACATGAAAGAGGTATCTCTTGTTATACATACCCAGGCCCTGCAACCACACCTGAGTTTATGTAAATGAGGTGACTTTTGGAAAGCCCCTAGATAACCCCACAAGTGCGAGGGACTGGCTGCCAAAGAAACCGTCAGTGATTAGACATTGGGAACTTTCAGCCCCAGGCTCCAAGTGGCCTCCAGGGAGGGGAGAGGGGCTGAAGGTTGAATTGATTATGAACTGCCAGCTATGTGATCAGCATTGCCCACCTAAGGAATCCTCCATAAACCCCAAAAGAAAAGGGTTTGGGCCGGGTGTCCTGTGGCTCATGCCCGTAATCCCAACGCTTTGGGAGGCCTAGATGGGAGGATTGCTTGAGCCCAAGAATTCTAGGCCAGTCTGGACAAAATAGCAAGACCCTGGCTCTACAAAAAATAAAAAATTAGCCAGGCGTGGTGGAGTGCACCTGTAGACCCAGCTACTCAGGAGGCTGAGGCATGAGAATCACTTGAACGCAGGAGACAGAGGCTGCAGTGAGCTGAGATAGCGCCACTGCACTCCAGCCTGGGTGACGGAGTTAGACTGTCTCAAAAAAAAAAAAAACCAGGAAAGAGTTCAGAAGAGCTTCCTGGTTGGTGAACCCGGGTGCATTCGTGTGCCAGGACTGTGGTGCACCCCAGGTCCACAGGGACAGAAGCTCCTGCACTTCGGACTCCTCTAAACCTCCCCCTACGCATCTCTTCCTTGGCTGTTCATTTGTATCCTTTAAAATATGAAAGGGCGGGTTGCCCCTCCACACCTGTGGGCATTTCTCGTTAGGTGGAAGGAGAGACTTGGAAAAGAAAGAGACACAGACAAAGTATAGAGAAAGAAATAAGGGGACCCAGGGGACCAGCATTCAGCATATGGAGGATCCCGCCAGCTTCTGAGTTCCCTTAGTATTTATTGATCATTTTGGGGTGTTTCTCAGAGAGGGGGATGTGGCAGGGTCATAGGATAATAGTGGAGGGAAGGTCAGCAGATAAACACGTTAACAAAGGTCTCTGCATCATAGACAAGGTAAAGAACTAAGTGCTGTGCTTTAGATATGCATACACATAAACATCTCAATGCCTTACGGAGCAGTATTGCTGCCCGCATGTCCCACCTCCAGCCCTAAGGCGGTTTTCCCCTATCTCAGTATATGGAATATACAATCGGGGTTTACACCCATACATTCCATTGCCCAGGGACGAGCAGGAGACAGATGCCTTCCTCTTGTCTCAACTGCAAAGAGGTGTTCCTTCCTCTTTTACTAATCCGCCTCAGCACAGACCCTTTACTGGTGTCGGGCTGAGGGACGGTCAGGTCTTTCCCTTCCCATGAGACCATATTTCAGGCTATCACATGGGGAGAAACCCTGGACAATACCTGGCTTTCCTAGGCAGAGGTCCCTGCGGCCTTCCGCAGTGTTTGTGTCCCTGGGTACTTGAGATTAGGGAGTGGTGATGACTCTTAAGGAGCATGCTGCCTTCAAGCATTTGTTTAACAAAGCACATCTTGCACAGCCCTTAATCCATTTAACCCTGAGTGGACACAGCACATGTTTCAGAGAGCACAGGGTTGGGGGTAAGGTCATAGATTAACAGCATCTCAAGGCAGAAGAATTTGTCTTAGTACAGAACAAAATGAAGTCTCCTGTGTCTACTTCTTTCTACACAGACACAGTTACAATCTGATCTCTCTTTCTTTTCCCCACAAAAATATCCTTTGTAGACCAGGCACAGTGGCTCAGGCCTGTAATCCCAGCACTTTGGGAGGCTGAGGCAGATGGATCACTTAAGGTCAGGAGTTTGAGACCAGCCCAGCCAGCATGGTGAAACTGCGTCTCTACAAAAATACAAAAATTAGCGGGGCATGGTAGTTCAACGCCTGTAATCCCAGCTACTCGAGAGGCTGAGGCAGAATTGTTTGAACCCGGGAGGCAGAGGCAGAGGTTGCAGTGAGCCGAGGTCGCACGACTGCACTCCAGCCTGGGTGCAACAGAGTGAGACTCCATCTCAAAAAACAAAAAACAAAAACAAAAACAAAACAAAAAATGAAAACCCACTTTTAGTAAAAAAAATAAAAATGAAAAAATGTGAATCAGGCTGCACTCTGGCCCACATCCTGGCTGCTGTGTATCACGTGGCTCTAGACACTGCACTTTTGCCTCCTCATCATTGCTGTAGATAGGATTTCTGACAGCAGGGTCATTAGACGAATTTTTTTTTTTTTTTGAGACGGAGTCTCGCTCTGTCGCCCAGGCTGGAGGGCAGTGGCGCAATCTCTGCTCACTGCAAGCTCCGCCTCCCGGGTTCACACAATTCTCCTGCCTCAGCCTCCCGAATAGCTGGGACTACAGGTGCCTGCAACCATGCCTGGCTAATTTTTTTTGTATTTTTAGTAGAGACGCGGTTTCACCATGTTAGCCAGGATGGTCTCGATCTCCTGACCTCGTGATCCTCCCGCCTAGGCCTCCCAAAGTGCTGGGATTACAGGCGTGAGCCACCGCGCCCGGCCCCATTAGACAAATTTGTATCTGCACGGTTCCTACAGATAAACTCTGGGACATTAGAATTATAAGGCTTTTGTTTAAGGATGGTTTCAGATGTTTTTCAGACCTTGAATTCCAGCCAAATAGCTGACACTAACCAGTTTGAAGACCCCAGTGAGGAATGGGATCAGCATGAGAACACTGCGTCTTCATGCCCCTGTCTCCGCCAGCAGTCAGCATGGCCACACTCTGGCCCACACCAAAACACTTAAAAACCCTAGCCCCGGCCGGGTGCAGAGGCTCACACCTGTAACTCCAGCACTTTGGGAGGCCAAGGCAGGTGAATCACCTGAGGTCAAGAGTTCAAGACCAGCCTGGCCAACATAGTGAAACCCCGTTTCTACTAAAAACACAAAAAATTAGTCGGGCGTGGTAGCGGGTGCCTGTAACCCCAGCTACTCAGGAGGCTGAGGCAAGAGAATTACTTGAACCTGGGAGGCGGAGGTTGCAGTGAGCAAAGATCCTGCCACTGCACTCCAGCCTGGGTGACAAAGCAAAACTCCATCTCAAAAAAAAAAAAAACCCTAGACCCAAACTTCTGGGGGAGATGGATTGGAGGTTTCCTCCCATCTCCTCATTCCTCAGCCCTGTGATTAAACTTCCTTCTCTTCTGCAACACAGTGACCCGGCAAATTGACTCACAGCGTGCATTGGGCAACGGACCTACTGTCAGAGGCGTGTAACCAGGGCAACTCCATCTTGAATAGGAGCTGACTAAAATAAGGCTGAGACCTACCGGGCTGCATTCCCAGACAGTTAAGGCATTCTCCAAAAAAAACAAAAATGACAGGCACGGTGGCCCAGCACTTTGGGAGGCCGAGGCGGGTGGATTACCCGAAGTAGAGTTTGAGACCAGCCTGGCCAACACGGTGAAACCCCGTCTCTACTGAAAATACAAAAATTAGTCACGCGTGGTGGCTCGTGCCTGTAATCCCACCTACTTGCGAGGCTGAGGCAGGAGAATCGCTTCAGCCGGGGAGGCGGAGGTTGCAGTAAAAAGAAAAAAAAAAGCATTCTAAGTCACAGGATGAGATAAGTCAGCACAAGATACAGGTCATAAGGACCTTGCTGATAACACAGGTAGCAATGTAGCAGGACCAGCCACAGACAAAACTCCTCAGACACCGAGTTAAAGAAGAAAGGGGTTTATCCGGCCAGGGGCATCGGCAAGACTCCCGTCTCAAGAGCCGAGATCCCCAAGTGAGCAATTCCTGTCCCTTTTAAGGGCTCACAACTCTAAGGGGGTGTGCGTGAGAGGGTCGTGATCGACTGAGCAAGCAGGGGGTACGTGACTGGGGGCTGCATGCACTGGTAATCAGATCCAAACAAAACAGGATAGGGATTTTCACAGTGCTTTTCTATACAATGTCTGTAATCTATAGATAACCGATTAGGTCAGGGGTCAATCTTTAACTACCAGGCCCAGGGTGTGGCGCCGGGCTGTCTGCTTGTGGATTTCATTCCTGGGCCGCGGGGCTGTCTGCTTGTGGATTTCATTCCTGGGGCGCGGGGCTGTCTGCTTGTGGATTTCATTTCTGCCTTTTAGTTTTTACTTTTTCTTTCTTTGGAGGTGGAAATTGGGCATAAGACAATATGAGGGGTGGTCTCCTCCCTTAGCAATAAAGAATCCAGCCAGGCCGGGCGCGGTGGCTCACACCTGTAATCCCAGCACTTTCGGGGGCTGAGGCGGGTGGATCACACGGTCAGGAGATTGAGACCATCCTGGCTAACACGGTGAAACCATCTCTACTAAAAAAAAAAAATACAAAAAATTAGCTGGGCGTGGTGGCGGGCGCCTGTAGTCCCAGCTACTCGGGAGGCTGAGGCAGGAGAACGGCGTGAACCCGGGTGATGGAGCTTGCAGTGAGCGGAGATCGCGCCACTGCACTCCAGCCTGGGTGACAGAGCGAGACTCCGTCTCAAAAAAATAAAAAAAAAAAAAAAAAAGGGCAACCGAGGCCAGACGTGGTGGCTTACGCCTGTAATCCCAACACTTTGGGAGGCCGAGGCGGGCATATCACCTGAGCTCAGGAGGTCAAGATCAGCCTGGCCAACATGGTGAAACCCCATCTCTTACTAAAAATACAAAAATTAGCCAGACGTGATGGCAGGCACCTGTAATCCCAGCTACTCAGGAGGCTGAGGCAGGAGAATCACTTGAACTGAAGTGATTCAAGGCAGAGGTTTCAGTGAGCCAAGATCACGCCACTGCACTCCAGCCTGGGCGACAAGAGCAAAACTCCATCTCAAAAAAAATAAGGGCAACTAGCAGCCCTATGGGCTGCTGTCTATGGAGTAGCTATTCTTTTACTCCTTCACTTTCCTAATAAGCTTGCTTCCACTTTACTCCATAGTCTCGCCCTGAATTCTTTCTGGTATGAGATTCAAGAACCCACCATGCCCAGCTCGTCCTTACTTGCTTTTAAAAAATATCATTGGTGGCCGGGCGCGGTGGCTCATGCCTGCAATCCCAGCACTTTGGGAGGCCAAGGCTGGCGGATCACCTGAGGTCCGAAGTTTGAGACCAGCCTGACCAACATGGAGAAACCCCGTCTCTACTAAAATACAAAAAAATTAGCTGGGTGTGGTGGTGCGTGCCTGTAATCCCAGCTACTCAGGAGGCTGAGGCAGGAGAATCACTTGAACCCGGGTGGCAGAGGTTGCAGTGAGCCAAGATCATGCCATTGCACTCCAGCCTGGGCAACAAGAGTGAAACTCCGTCTCAAAAATAAATAAATAAAATCATTGGAATAATTTTCTTCTTTAGGAAGAGCAGCCTTGGGCCAGGCATGGTGGCACATGCCTGGAATCCCCGAACTTTGGGCAGCCCAGGTAGGTGGATTGCTTGAGTTCAAGAGTTCCAGACCAGCCTGGACAACATGACGAAACCTCTTCTTGATCAAATATACAGAATTTCGACTGAGCACAGTGGCTGTAAGCCCAGCATGTTGGGGAGCTGAGGTGGGTGAATCATTTGAGGTCAGACCAGCCTGACTAACATGGCGAAACCCCATCTCTACAAAAAATACAAAAGTTAGCCAGGAGGTCGTGGGCGCCTGTGGTCCCAGCTACTCGGGAGGCTGAGGCAGGAGAATGACGTGAACCCCGGAGTCGTAGGTTGCAGTGAGCCAAGATCGTGCCACTGCACTTCAGCCTGGGCGACACAGCAAGACTGAGGTTGCAGTGAGCTGTGATCCTCAACCTCCTGGGTTCAAGGGATTGTCGAGCCTCAGCCTCCCAAGTAGCTGGGATTATAGACATTCGCTCCCATGCCTGGCTAATTTTTGTATTGCAAAAATGCACTCCAGCCTAGATGACAGGACTGCACTCCAGCCTGGATGACAGAGCAAGACTGTGTCTCAAAAATAAATAAATAAATAAATAAATAGCCAACTGTGATCGTGCATGCCTGTAGTCCCAGCTACTCAGGAGGCCAAGGCAGGAGGATCACTTGAGACTGGGAGGTCATGGCTACAGTGAGCCATGATCTCGCAACTGCACTCCAGCCTGGGCAACAGAGGGAGAGAAAGGAAGGAAGGAGGGAAGGAGGGAAGGAGGGAAGGGAAGGAGGGAAAGGAAGTCAGTCTTGTGGGACAAGGAAGGAAGGAAGGAAGTCAGTCAGTCTTGTGGGACTCAGCCCTGAACCTTTGGGATCTGATGCTGTCCCCAGGTAGGGAGTGTCAGAACTAAATCAAAGGAGAGGACACCCAGCTGGTCTCTGCTGGAGAACTGGTTGTTGGTGGGGAGAAACATACATTTTTGGTGAAGTATTCTGTGTTGAGTGTGAAAGTAGGAAAAACAGGACTGGGTATGGTGGTTCATGCCTGTCATTCCAGGATTTTGGGAGGCCAAGGCAGGCGGATCACTTGAGGTCAGGACTTTGAGACCACCCTGGTGAACATGGCAAAACCCCATCTCTACTAAAAAAAAATACAAAAATTAGCTGGGCGCGGTGGCAGGTGCCTGTAATACCAGCTACTCGGGAGGCTGAGGCAGGAGAATCACTTGAACCCGGGAGGCGGAGGTTGCAGTGAGCTGAGATTGTGCCTTTGCACTCCAGCCTGGGAGACAGAGCAAGACTCTCCCTCAAAAAAAAAAAAAGGCCGGGCGCAGTGGCTCACGCCTATAATATCAGCACTTTGGGAGGCCGAGGCAGGTGGATCACTGACACCCAACACCACGCCTTCTAATTTTTTGCATTTTTAGTAGAAACGGGGTTTCACCATGTTGGCCAGGCTTGTCTCGAACTCCTGTCCTCTGGTGATCCACCTGCCTTGGCCTCCCAAAGTGCTGGAATTACAGGCGTGAACCCAGCAACTTTTCCCCCTTTTATCATACCTTAATTTGCCTCCACCACCCCCAGAAGCTCCAAGTCTCTACGCCTTTTCATTTATGTATGTATGTATTTATTTATTTATTTATTTATTTTATTTTGAGACAGGGTCTCCCTCTATCTCCCAGGCTGCAGTGCAGTGGCGTGATCTTGGCCCACTGCAACCTCCACCTCCCGGGTTCAAGTAATCCTCCTGTCTCAGCCTCCCAAGTAGCTGGGATTACAGGGCACACCACCACACCTGGCTAATTTTTGTATTTTTAGTGGAGACTGGGTTTCACCCTGTTGTCCAGGCTAGTCTCAAACTCCCGACGTCAGGTGATCCACCCATTTCGGTTCCCAAAGTGTTGAGATTACAGACCGTGAGCCACCGGGACGGACACCCCTACTCCTTTCTTCTTCTTCTTCTTTTTTTTTTTTTTTTTGAGATGGAGTCTCCCTTTGAAGCCCAGGCTGGAGTACAATGGTGCGATCTTAGCTCACTGCAGTTTCCTCCTCCCGGGTTCAAGTGATTCTCCTGCCTCAGCCTCCGGAGTAGCTGGGATTACAGGCACACACCACCACACCAGCTAATTTTTGTATTTTTAGCAGAGATGGGGTTTCACCATGTTGGCCAGGCTGGTCTCAAACTCCTGACCTCAGGTGATCCACCCACCTTGGCCTCCCAAACTGCTGGGATCACAGGCGTGAGCCACTGCACCCTACACTCTTATACTCCTTTCTGTAGCTCAGGCAGCTAGATGAGCTTCAATCATCTGGCCCTTCCTCCAGTCTCACATTTTTGTGGGACTCCTGTGCATACATAATTGAATCTGGTTTTTCTTCTGTCAAACTGTTTTGTGTCAATGTAATTCATAGCCCATCCAAAGAACCTAGGAGGGTGGAGGGAATCCATTTTCTCTCCTCCACACTGGAGGGCCATGGAGCCCAAGAGTTCAAGACTGGCCCGGTGTACAAAGTGAGACCCAGTCTCTATTTAAAAAAGATGGGGAGGGGGCCGGGCACGGTGTCTCACGCCTGTAATTCCAGCACTTTGGGAGGCCCAGGTGGGTGGATCACCTGAGGTCAGGAGTCCGAGACTAGCCTGGCCAAGGTGGTGAGACCGTGTCTTTACTAAAAATACAAAATTAGCTTGGTATGGTGGCAGGAGCCTGTAATCCCAGCTACTTGGAAGGCTAGGGCAGGAGAATCGCTTGGTTTGGGATTTTCTCCCTGAGGCACTTGCTATCTCCAGGATTATGGGTCTCAGGTGAAAGAAAGACAAAGAAGGAGAGAGAGACAGAGAGGGACAGGGAAAGAGAATTTCAGACTTATCTAACATTGACACTTAGGAGAAGTAGGGAGAAAGAGGTGGGAAAATAAAGTGGCTAGGTAAAAATGAACATGTCAGTAACAATAATAGCATTAACAATAACTAGTATTGCCGGGTGCAGTGGCTCACGCCTCTAATCCCAGCACTTTGGGACGCCGAGGTGGGCGAATCACAAGGTCAGGAGTTCAAGACCAGCCTGGCCAACATGGTGAAACCCTGTCTCTACTAAAAATACAAAAAGTTAGCTAGCTGGGCATAGTGGTGCATGCCTGTAATCCCAGCTACTCTGGAGGCTGAGGCAGGAGAATCGCTTGAACCCGGGAGGCAAAGGTTGCAGTGAGTCAAGATCAGGCCACTGCACTCCAGCCCAAGGGACAGAGTGAGACTCTGTCTCAAATAATAATAATAATAATAACTAGTGGCCAGGCACAGTGGCTCACGCCTGTAATCCCAGTGTAGCAGGACGAGCCACAGACAAAAACCTCTCAGACACCGAGTTGTAGAAGGAAGGGCTTTATTCAGCTGGGAGCATCGGCAAGCTACTGTCTTAAAATCCAAGCTCCTCGAGTGCACAGTTTCTGTCCCTTTTAAGGGCTCACAACACTAAAGACTGCGCATGAAAGGGTCATGATTGAGCAATCTAGGGGATACATAACAGGGGTTTCGTGCACTGCTGGTCAGAGAGAAAGAATAGGGCAGGGAGTTTCACAGTGTTCTTCTATACAATGCCTGGAATCTATGGATAACATCGGGTTCTAAGTCATGAGTTGATTTTTATCTACTAGGTTTACGCCAGGCAGGCCCAGGCCTGGTTTCGGGTCTGGTTTTGGGTCTGGTGCCTGGCGCCGGGCTACCTGCCTTTGGTTTCACTTCCTTGTTTTTTTCTTTTTCTTTTTTTTTTTTTTTGAGACAGAGTCTTGCTCTGTCGCTAAGGCTGGAGTGCAGTGGCACAATCTCGGCTCACTGCAAGCTCCGCCTCCTGGATTCAAGCAATTCTGCTGCCTCATCCTTCCGAGTAGCTGGGATTACAGGCGCACGCCACCATGCCCGGCTAATTTTTGTATTTTTAATAGAGACGGGGTTTCACCATGTTGGCCAGGCTGGTCTCAAACTCCTGACCTTGTGATCCACCCGCCTTGGCCTCCCAAAGTGCTGGGATTACAGGCGTGAGCCACCGTGCCCGGCCTCCTTGTTTTTTTTCTAAAACAAGTACTGAGTATAAAACAATATAAAACAATATGAGACGGTTTCTCTCTTCCCTCACCAGCACTTTGGGAGGCTGAGGCAGGTGGATCACAAGGTCAGAGTGGATAGCACTTTAGGAGGTTGAGGTGGGAGGATCCCTTGAGCCCAGGAGCTCAAGTCCAGCCTGGGCAACATAGCAAGACCCCCATTTCCAATTTTAGTGTATGTGCTGCCAAAGCAAATACTCTGAGACCCTGTTTCTACAAAAAATAAAAAAATTAAAATTAGTGCTTGGAAAAAAAAATTAGTGCTTGACCAGGAGGCAAGCACACCTCCTCATCCTCTCATGGATGTCTGTCTGTAGAAAGTAAATGGAGACAGCTTCATTTTACCCAACTGCTCCGTTTTAGGTCCGCTCCTGAGCTTCTGTTGTTCCCAGCCATGCAACCCTGGGAGCCGACTCCCGGCTGCAGAGCCTTGTCAGAAGCAGGCAATGTACACAGAGACCCAAGGCCTGGTGTAGACAGGCTTTCACAGACCTGGGCATTTTGTTGAATTGTTTTTGAATTGTGGTTTCTTATCAGTTCATCCGATACTCTGTTCTAACCACGTAGTTCCTCTTTTGGATCTCCAAACCCCTTTGCAGGTTCCATCTACCCGAACCAAACTCACTTATTCCAACAGAAGTCTGGTGTTTCTTGTTTTTTTTGTTTGTTTGTTTCTTTCGTTTTGTTTTTTGAGATGTTGTCTCCCTCTATCACCCAGGCTGGAGTGCAGTGGCGAGATCTCAGCTCACTGCAACCTCTGCTTCCCGGGTTCAAGCAATTCTCCTCCCTCAGCCTCCTGGGTAGCTGGGATTACAGGTGCCTGCCGCCACACCCAGCTAACTTTTGTATTTTCAGTAGAGACGGGATTTCACCATGTTGGCCAGGCTAGTCTCGAGCTCCTGACCTCAAGTGATCCACCCATCTCAGCCTCCCAAAGTGCTGGGATTACAGCCTTAAGCCACCGCGCTCAACCAGAAGTCTGTTTAAATCCATCCTTCTCCCCAGCCACCCATGAGTTATGTGACCTTGGGGTTGCTACTTAACATTTCAGTCTCAATTTCCTCAATAGAACAAAAGTTAGAAGAATAACAAAAGATAGTTTTATTTTTATTTTTATTTTTATTTTTTGAGATGGAGTCTTGCTCTGTCACCTAGGCTGGAGTGCAGTGGTGTGATGGTGGCTCACTGCAAGCTCCGCCTCCCGGATTCACGCCATTCTCCTGCCTCAGCCTCCCAAGTAGCTGGGACTACAGGCACCCGCCACCGTGCCCAGCTAATTTTTTTAATTTTTAGTAGAGACGGGGTTTCACCGTGTTAGCCAGGATGGTCTCGATCTCCTGACCTCGTGATCCGCTTGCCTCGGCCTCCCAAAGTGCTGGGATTACAGGCGTGAGCCACCATGCCCAGCACAAAAGATAATTTCTTAATCCCATGCATTTGAGTCTTAAAAAAATATTCTATATAATTCCAAGGTCAAAGAAGAAATAACAAAGGGCATTTTTAAAAATGCTAGAACTGAGTGGTGGTGAAATTGCTGTTGAAATGTGTTTGTTGCACTGATGGAAATTTATAAATGTAAATATTTATATTAAAATATAAAATAATGGGCCAGGCATAGTGGCTCACACCTGTAATCTCAGTACTTTGGGAGGCCAAGGCGGGAGGGCCATGGAGCCCAGGAGTTCAAGACCGGCCCGGTGTACAAAGTGAGACCCAGTCTCTAGTTAAAAAAGAGGGGGAGTGGGCCAGGCACAGTGTCTCACGCCTGTAATTCCAGCACTTTGGGAGGCCAAAGCAGGTGGATCACCCGAGGTCAGGAGTCCAAGACCAGCCCGGCCAAGGTGGTGAAACCCCGTGTCTACTAAAAATACAAAATTAGCTTGGTATGGTGGCGGGAGCCTATAATCCCAGCTAGGGCAGGAGAATCACTTGAACCCGGGAGGCAGAGGTTGCAGTGAGCCAAGATCATGCCACTGCACTCCAGCCTGGGCAACAACAGAGAGACTTCATCTCTAAATAAATAAATAGATAAATAAAAGAAAATACAAATTTTTTAAAAAAGGTACTGTGGCTGGGCGTGGTGGTTCACACCTGTAATCCCAGCACTTTCGGAAGCCGAGGCAGGTGGATCTCAGATCAGGAGTTCAAGAAGAGCCTGGCCAGCATGGTGAAAACCTATCTGTACTAAAAATTAGCCTGGCATGGTGGCAGGTGCCTGTAGGAGGCTGAGGCAAGAGAATTGCTTGAGCCCCGGAGGCAGAGGTTGCAGTGAGCCGAGACCACACCACTGCACTCCAGCCTGGGCAACAGAGCGAGAGTCTGTCTCAAAAAGGAAACAAAAAAAAAAGTACCTCCAAATTATGGTAGGGTGTCCATATTAAGAAGGTAGAAAAAGGTCGGGGGAAGTGGATGCCTGTAATCCCAGAACTTTGGGAGGCTGAGGCGGGTGGATCACCTGAGGTCAGGAGTTCAAGAACAGCCTGGCCAAAAGGGTATGGTGAAACCCCATCTCTACTAGAACTACAAAATTAGCCGGGCGTGGTGGTACATGCCTGTAATCCCAGCTACACAGGAGTCTGAGGCAGGAGAATCACAGGAAACCGGCAGGCAGAGGTTGCAGTGAGCTGAGATCGCGCCATTGCACTCCAGCCTGGGCGACAAGAGCAAAACTCCATCTCAAAAAAAAAAAAAAGAAAAAATGAAAAAGAATTTATTGAAATGTGCAGTCTGAAAACTGCTCCTGCACATTTTCATTCATCCTTCCTATTCCCTCCATCCCTCAATTTTTTTTTTTTTTTTGAGACAGAGTTTCGCTCTTGTTGCCCAGGCTGGAGTGCAATGGCACGATCTCAGCTCACTGCAACCTCTGCCTCCCAGGTTCCAGCCATTTTCCTGCCTCAGCCTCCAGAATAGCTGGAATTACAGGCATCTGCCACTACGCCTGGCTAATTTTTTGTGTATTTTTAGTAGAGATGGGGTTTCACCATGTTGGTCAGGCTGATCTCGAACTCCTGACCTCAGGTGATCCACCCGCCTCGGCCTCCCAAAGTGCTGGGATTACAGGCATGAATCACCACGCCCAGCCCCTCATTTTCTTTTCTTTCTTTCTTTCTTTTTTGTTTGTTTGTTTTTGAGACAGAGTCTTGCTCTGTCACCCAGGCTGGAGTGCAGTGGCGCGATCTCAGCTCACTGCAAGCTCCGCCTCCCGGGTTCACGCCATTCTCCTGCCTCAGCCTCCCGAGTAGCTGGGACTACAGGCGCCCGCCACCACGCCCGGCTAATTTTTTGTATTTTTAGTAGAGACGGGGTTTCACCGTGTTAGCCAGGATGGTCTCGATTTCCTGACCTCGTGATCCACCCGCCTTGGCCTCCCAGAGTGCTGGGATTACAGGCGTGAGGCACCACACTGGGCCCCCTCACTTTCTTATTCTTTCTAGGATAGGCAACTGAGCGCGGCAGTGAAGAGCTGGGCTTCCGGAAGCTGACAGCTGTTTGTGATCTTCAAGACCTCAGACAGGTTTTCTAAATATGCCTTGCCTTCATTTTCTCAAGGAAAGTGAAAAATGGGTAGGATCATGGCAATCACTACTGTGTAGCAATGTTTAGAGGACTTAATAAGTAAACACAGGGTCAAGCATGGTGGCTCACGCCGGAAATCCCAGCACTTTGGGAGGCCGTGGTGGGAAGATTGCTTAAGCCCATGGGGTTGAGACCAGCCTGGGCAACATAGTGAGACCTCCATCTCTATAAAAAATACAAAAATCTAGTCAGGCGTGATGGCGTATGCCTGTAGCCTTCAGTAAGCTATGATTGTGCCACTGCACACCAGCCTAGGCGACAGAGTGAGACCCTGTCTCAAAAAGAAAAAACGAAAAGAAATATAGATGTACATATACATATGTTGGTTCTAAAACATGAAAAAGGCTGGGCGCGGTGGTTCGTGCCTGCAACCCAAGCACTTTGGGAGGCCGAGGCGGGCGGATCACGAGGTCAAGAGTTTGAGACCAGCCTGGCCAACATAGTGAAACCCCATCTCTACTAAAAATACAAAAAAAAGGCTAGGCGCAGTGGCTCATGCCTGTAATCCTAGCACTTTGGGAGGCCGAGGTGAGCAGATTACCTGAGGTTGGGAGTTCAAGACCACCCTGTCCAACATGGTGAAACCCCATCTCTACTAAAAATAAGAAAATTAGCCGGGTACAGTGGCACGCGCCTGTAATCCCAGCTATTCAGGAGGCTGAGGCAGGAGAATCGCTTGAACTCTGGAGGCGGAGGTTGCAGTGAGCCAAGATTGCGCCACTGCACTCCAGCCCGGGCGACAGTGCCAGACTCAGTCTCAGAAAAAAAAAAAGCAAAACAAACAAAGAAACATGAAAAAAAGCTATAAAACCCAACTTTTTTCTTTTTTTTTTGAGACGGAGTCTCACTCTGTCGCCCAGGGTGGAGTGCAGTGGTGCGGTCTCGGCTCACTGCAACCTCCGCCTCCTGGGTTCAAGCAATTCTCTGCTTCAGCCTCCCAAGTAGCTGGGATTACAGGCACCTGCCACCACGCCCGACTAATTTTTTGTATTTTTAGTTGAGACGGGGTTTCATCATCTTGGCCAGGCTGGTCTTGAAGTCCTGACCTCGTGATCCACCCGCCTTGGCCTCCCAAAGTGCTGGAATTACAGGCGTGAGCCACCGCGCCCGGCCAAAACCCAACTTTTTAGTCTTATTTATATGGTGTTTTTTTTTTTTTTTTTTTTTGAGATGGAGCCTTGCTCTGTCGCCCAGGCTGGAGTGCAGTGGCGCGATCTCGGCTCACTGCAAGCTCCGCCTCCCGGGTTCACGCCATTCTCCTGCCTCAGCCTCCCGAGTAGCTGGGACTACAGGTGCCCGCCACCACGCCCGGCTAATTTTTTGTATTTTTAGTAGAGACGGGGTTTCACCGTGTTAGCCAGGATGGTCTCGATCTCCTGACCTCGTGATCCACCTGCCTCGGCCTCCCAAAGTGCTGGGATTACAGGCGTGAGCCACTGTGCCCGGCTATATGTTTACAAAATTAATACTGCCAGCCAGGCACGGTGGCTCACGCCTGTAATCCCAGCACTTTAGGAGGCTGAGGCTGGCAGATCACCTGAGGTCAGGAGTTTGAGACCAGCCTGGCCAGCATGGCAAAACCCCGTCTCTATTGAAAAAAATACAAAAATTAACCAGGCGTTGTGGCGCATGCTTGTAATCTCAGCTACTCGGGAGGCTGAGGCAGGGGAATCACTTGAAGCCGGCAGGCGGAGGCTGCGGGGAGCCGAGATCGTGCCGTTGCACTCCAGCCTGGGGAACAGAGCAAGACTCCATTAAAAATAAAATAATAATAATACTGTGAATGTGAAACTGATGAACTTGGTGCTTTTCATGCGTCTCATAGTTGACGTGTCATTGATATTTCACTTGAAATACGGTTGGATTTTTATTAATAATATACCTGGGGTGATGGGAGAAGGTAGCCAATCACAGCTGAGGCTTCTAAGCGGTGATTCTCAGCCTCGGCCGCAATCACAGTTATCTGGGACTCTCGAAAGAACTCCAGGGTCTGGGCAGTCCCAGTGTAACCAATCAAGCAGAATCTCTAGGCGTTCGTGCTTTGAAATGAGGCTCCACATAGGTAAGTTTAACAGGCAGTCAAGATGGAGGACCACAGGTGGAGATCCGGAAGCTCAGGTGAAGGACCGCCCCCCAACACCCCCCGCCCCCAAAAGACCTCTCAGTAATTCCGGTGGATACAGGAAGTGCTCAGCAACGATTACGCCCCGAGGGCCAATCACAGGGCTGCGGCCGAGAGAGAAGCCTTATTAGAGCTTTCTCAACCTGCAGCCCTCATCTCCGCCGGCGAGTAGGGCCAGGTGTTGGGAGGTGAGTAGCTCTCCGGCAGCTCTGCAACTTCATTTCTTTATTTCTCCATTCCACAGTTGGTAAAATTTCTCCTTTTATTTCATATATTTTTTTTCTGAGACGGAGTCTCGCTCTGTCGCCCAGGCTGGAGTGCGGTGGCGCGATCTCGGCTCACTGCAAGCTCCGCCTCCCGGGTTCAGGCCATTCTCCTGCCTCAGCCTCCCGAGTAGCTGAGACTACAGGCACCTGCCACTATGCCCAGCTAATTTTTTTGTATTTTTAGTAGAGACGGGGTTTCACCATGTTGGCCAGGCTGGTCTCAGTCCGCCTCGGCCTCCCAAGGTGCCGGGATTACAGGCGTGAGCCACCGCGCCCAGCCTTTTTTTTTTTTTTTTCTTCTCTTTTTTGAGGGTCTTACTCTGTTTCCCAGGCTGGAGCGCTGTGGCAGGATCTCGGCTCACTGAACCCTTGACCTCTCAGGTTCAAGCAGTCCTCACGCCTCAGCCTTTGAAGTAGCTGGGACCGTGGGAGGGTGCCACCACATCTGTTCTGGCTAATAATATTATTATTACCACTGTTTGCAGAGACTCACTAGATGTAGGGTCTTAATATGTTGCCGAAGCTGGTCTCTAACTCCTGGGCTCAAGCGATCTTCCTGCCTCAGACTCCCAAAATTCTGGGATTATAGGCAGGTGCCACCGCGCCCGGCCTAAATCTTTTCTTCTGTTAGAAATTAAGTGGTTCTGCCTGTCTCAGTGGCTCACGCCTGTAATCGCAGCGCTTTGGGAGGCCGAGGCGGGAGGATCACCTGAGGTCGGGAGTTCGAGACCAGCCTGACCAACATGTAGAAACCCCATCTCTACTAAAAATATAAAATTAGGTGGGCGTGGTAGCGCATACTTGTAATCCTAGCTACTCAGGAGGCTGAGGCAGGAGAATCACTTGAACCCGGGAGGCGGAGGTTGCGGGGAGCCTAGATCATACCATTGCTCTCCAGCCTGCGCAGCAAGAGAGAAACTGTCTCAAAAAATAAAATAAAATAAAATTCAGTGGTTCTGACTGGGGAAAGAGTAGCAGATGCTTAGATCTAGAGAGACTCTAGTTAAGGTTGGCTCATAAGAGGATAGTTGTGTGTGCTTTTATTTCTGTTCTCTTGGGGGATTTAGGATAGAGCTATAGAGAGCTCCAAAAAAAAAAATATATTGGAACAGGTCAGATGCTGTGGTTGCTGTGTGTGGAGTCCTGGGCAGTGCTAAGGTTTTGTGTCTAATGAGTCCTCTTAACAAGAAGGTATTGTTTTTTATTCACTGAGGTGAGGGAGCCTCTTAGCATCATTCTAGTCCAGCTTCCGGACCTGAGTCTTATGCAAATACCTATGCCAGTTGCCATTCTCACGCTATTCACAGCTATCATATAAAGAGGTGTTATACCCTTTCTGTAAAGTTTTTGTTGCTACTGCTATTTTTTTTTTTTTTTTTTTTTTTTTGAGACAAAGTCTAGCTCTGTTTCCCAGGCTGGAGTACAGTGGCGCTATCTCAGCTCACTGCAACTTCCACCTCCCAGGTTCAAGCAACTCTCGTGCCTCAGCCTTCTAAGTAGCTGGGACTACAGCCGCCTGTCACCAACCTGGCTAATTTTCGTATTTTTAGTTGATATAGGGTTTCACTATGTTGGCCAGGCTGGTCTCAAGCTCCAGACCTCAGGTGATCCTCCCACCTTGGACTCCCAAAGTGCTGTGATTACAGGCGTGAGCCACCGCACCCGGCCCTGTTGTTGTTTTTAAAATAGAGACAGGGTCTTAAGTTGCCAGGCTGGTCTGGAACTTCTGGACTGGAGTGATCACCCACCTGAGCTTCCCAAAGTGCGGGGATTGCAAGCGTCAGCCACCACCCCCAGTGTTGTGTTTTTGTTTGTTTTACCAGGCTGGAGTGCAGTGGTGCGATCACAGCTCACTGCAGCCTTAACTTCCCTGGCTCAGGTGATCCTCCCACCTCAGCCTCCTCAGTAGCTGGGACTACAGGTGCATGCCACTATGCCCAGCACAATTTTTTTTTTTTTGTATTTTTTTGTAGAGACAGGGTTTTGCCATGTTGCCCAGGCTGGTCTCAAACTCCAAGCAATCCTCCCACCTTGGCTTCCCAAAGTGTTTGGGGTTCCAGGTGTGAGCCATGGCCCCCCGGCCAGCTTCAGTAAAGTAAAAGCCACACACCTGTGTCCTGAGACCAGGCTCCACCACTAAGTTATCTTTAAGCCTTTTTTTTTTTTTTTTTTTTTTTTTTTGAGACAGTTTCACTCTTGTCGCCCCAGGCTGGAGTGCAGTGGCGCCATGTCAGCTCACCACAACCTCTGCCTCCCACTCCCAGGTTCAAGCGATTCTCCTGCCTCAGCCTCCCAAGTAGCTGGAACTACAGGCACCTGCCACCACGCCCGGCTAATTTTTTGTATTTTTAGTAGAGACGGGGTTTCACTGTGTTAGCCAGGATGGTCTCGATCTCCTGACCTCACGATCCGCCCGCCTCGGCCTCCCAAAGTGCTGGGATTGCAGGCGTGAGCCACCGCGCCCGGCTGTGTGTTTGCATTATCATATTCAGCCCAGTTTTCACGAAGTTTCTTGTCTCCTGGGTGATCCACGTAGCTCCCCAGTTCCTTATCTGATCTATGCTTGTCCTTTCATGGTTGTGTTACTACTTTGCTATAATGAGAGAGTGTTTTCGCTTTATAGGTTAACTTTTAGAACCTGAGCAGCCCCTCAGGGAAAACCCTGACAGTAGCTGGTTATTTTGCAATTAGAAAAACTAGCTGGGCACTGAGGCAGGTGAATCACGAGGTCAGGAGTTCGAGACCAGCCTGGCCAACTTGGTGAAACCCCCCATCTCTACTAAAAATACAAAAAAATTAGCTGGGCACAGTGGTGAATGCCTGTAATCCCAGCTACTTGGGAGGCTGAGGCAGGAGAATTGCTTGAATCCGGGAGGCAGAGGTTGTAGTGAGCCGAGATTGCAGCACTGCACTCCAGCCAGGGTGACAAAGTGAGACTCCGTCTCAAAAAAAAAAAAAAAAAATATACAAAAAGTAGCTGAGCGTGGTGGTGGGTGCCCATAATCCCAGCTAGTCGGGAGGCTGAGGCAGGAGAACTGTTTGAACCTGGGAGGCAGAGGTTGCAGTGAGCTGAGATCGTACTACTGTACTCCAGCCTGGGCTGCAGAGTGAAACTATCTCAAAAATAAGTAAATAAAAGTAAAATGAGTTGAGGTCTTGCTCTGTTGCCCAGATGGGAGTGCAGTGGCACAATCAAGGCTCACTGCAGTTTCAGTCTCCCAGGCTCAAGCAATCCTCCCACTGCAGCCTCCTGAGTAGCTGGGACTACAGGCATGTACCACCACCCACTGCTAACTTATTTTTCATGGAGATGGGGGTCTCACTATGTTGCCCAGGCTGGGAGTTTGTTCTTGAAGAAGCAGGGTAGATGGTGAGTGTCCTTGTTCGTGGCACAGCAGGAACTGGCATTTGAGACAGGAGTGCTAATCACCATCCCTCTCCACTCCTCCCTTGATTGTCATCACAGCTCCCACGTGGGACAAGATGGTGTCTTCGGCACAGATGGGCTTCAACCTGCAGGCTCTCCTGGAGCAGCTCAGCCAGGATGAGTTGAGCAAGTTCAAGTATCTGATCACGACCTTCTCCCTGGCACACGAGCTCCAGAAGATCCCCCACAAGGAGGTAGACAAGGCTGATGGGAAGCAACTGGTAGAAATCCTCACCACCCATTGTGACAGCTACTGGGTGGAGATGGCGAGCCTCCAGGTCTTTGAAAAGATGCACCGAATGGATCTGTCTGAGAGAGCAAAGGATGAAGTCAGAGGTGAGCGGAAATCGGTCCACACTGTGTCCTAGGAGGAAGCAGGCGTCCTCTCCAGGACTTTAGAAATTCAGAAGGCCAGGCGCGCTGGCTCACGCCTGTCGTCCCAGCCCTTTGGGAGGCTGAGGCGGTTGGACCACCTGAGGGTCAGGAGTTTGAGACCAGCCTGACCAACATGGTGATGAAACAGCATCTCTACTAAAAATACAAAAATTTGCTGGACGTGGTGGCAGACACCTGTAATCCCAGCTACTCCGGGAGGCTGAGGCAGGAGAATCACTTAAATCTAGGAGGCGGGGGTTGCTATGAGCCGAGATCACGCCATTGCACCCCAGCCTGGGCAACAAGAGCAAAATTCTGTCTCAAAAAAAAAAAGAAATGGCATTGAGGCTTGGAGAGGGACTGCTTGTTCTGAATGCAGGTGCTGGATCTTCATAAACCCTGGTGTCTGTCCTGGTCCTTATTTTCTACCTACTTCTTTTTTTTTTTTTTTTGTCCTTTTATTTTTTTATTTTTTATTTTATTATTATTTTTTTTATTATACTTTAAGTTTTAGGGTACATGTGCACATTGTGCAGGTTAGTTACATATGTATACATGTGCCATGCTGGTGCGCTGCACCCACTAACTCGTCATCTAGCATTAGGTATATCTCCCAATGCTATCCCTCCCCCCTCCCCCCACCCCACCACAGTCCCCAGAGTGTGATGTTCCCCTTCCTGTGTCCATGTGATCTCATTGTTCAATTCCCACCTATGAGTGAGAATATGCGGTGTTTGGTTTTTTGTTCTTGTGATAGTTTACTGAGAATGATGGTTTCCAATTTCATCCATGTCCCTACAAAGGACATGAACTCATCATTTTTTATGGCTGCATTGTATTCCATGGTATATATGTGCCACATTTTCTTAATCCAGTCTATCATTGTTGGACATTTGGGTTGGTTCCAAGTCTTTGCTATTGTGAATAATGCTGCAATAAACATACGTGTGCATGTGTCTTTATAGCAGCATGATTTATAGTCATTTGGGTATATACCCAGTAATGGGATGGCTGGGTCAAATGGTATTTCTAGTTCTAGATCCCTGAGGAATCCCCACACCGACTTCCACAATGGTTGAACTAGTTTACAGTCCCACCAACAGTGTGAAAGTGTTCCTATTTCTCCACATCCTCTCCAGCACCTGTTGTTTCCTGACTTTTTAATGATCGCCATTCTAACTGGTGTGAGATGATATCTCATAGTGGTTTTGATTTGCATTTCTCTGATGGCCAGTGATGATGAGCATTTTTTCATGTGTTTTTTGGCTGCATAAATGTCTTCTTTTGAGAAGTGTCTGTTCATGTCCTTCGCCCACTTTTTGATGGGGTTGTTTGTTTTTTTCTTGTAAATTATTTTCTACCTATTTCTATCGCTTTCAGGTATCGTACAGTTGGCCTAACATATCTGTGGATTTAACCAATCCTAGATCAAAAATAATGGGGGCAAAGACAATTAAAAATAACAATACAATAAAATGCACATGAACTATGGTTATTTAACTCTTCTTGAGAGAGAGGATCTCACTCTGTCACCCAGGCTGGAATTTAGCAGCACGATCTCGGCTCACTGCAACCTCCGCCTCCCGGGTTCAAGCGATTCTCCTGCCTCAGCCTCCCGAGTAGCCGGGATTACAAGCATGTCCCACCATGCCTGGCTGATTTTTTTTTTTTTTTTTTTTTTGTATTCTAAATAGAGATGGGGTTTCACCATGTTAGCCAGGATAGTCTCGATGTCGTGACCTCATGATCTGCCCGCCTCGGCCTCCCAAAGTGTTGGGATTACAGGCGTGAGCCACCGCACCCAGCCAGCAAGTGCATTTAGAACTACTCTACTTTCTACCCCATAACTTTTTTTTTTGTTTGTTTGAGACAAGTCTCACTCTGCCACCCAGGATGGAGTGCAGCAGCACAATCTCAGCTTATTGCAACTCCCGCCCCCTGGGTTCAAGTGTTTCTCCTGCATCAGCCTCTTGAATAGCTAGGATTATACAGGCACCTGCCACTGTGCCTGGCTAAATTTTGTATTTTAATAGAGATGGGGTTTCACTATGTTGGCCAGGCTGGTCTTGAACTCCTGACCACGTGATCAACCCGCCTCAGCCTCCCAATGTGCTGGAATTACAGGTGTGAGCCGCCATGCCCAGCTACACTTTTTTTTGAAACGGGGTCTCGTTTTCTTGCTCAGGCTGGAGTACAATGGGGCAATCACAGCTCACTGCAGCCTTGACCTCCCAGACTTGAGCAATCCTACCACTATGGCCTCCCACCACACCTCGCTCATTCTTGTATATATATATATTTTTGTAGAGATAGGGTTTCACCATGTTGCCCAGGCTGGTCTCGAACTTCTGTGGGCTCAACCGATCCTCCTGCCTTGGCTTCCCACAGTCCTGGGATCAGAAACATGAGCCACAGTGCCTGGCCAGTGCAGCTTTATTTACAGTAACCAAGATATAGAGTCAGTCTAAGTGACCATCAGTGGATGAATAAAAAATGTGCCCGTTGGGTACCCTGCCTACTGCCTGGGTTATGAGATTGTTGGGACCCCAAGCCTTAAAAAGGAAACATGGTAGGCCGGGCACAGTGGCTCACGCCTGTAATCACAGCACTTTGGGAGGCCAAGGCGGGTGGATCACTTGAGGCCAGGAGTTTGAGACCAGTCAGGCCAATGTGGTGAAACCCTGTCTCTACTAAAAATATAAAAAAATCAGCCGGGCGTGGTGGCACACTCCTGTAGTCCCAGCTACTTGGGAGGCTGAGGCAGGAGGATTGCTTGAACCAGAGAGTCAGAGGTTGCAGTGAGCCAAGATCGTGCCACTGCGCTCCAGCCTGGGTGACAGCAAGACTCCATCTCAAGAAAAAAAAACAAACAAACATGGTATTAATTACACAATGGAATACTCCTCAACCTTAAGGAACTCCTATCTTTTTATTTAAAAATTGCCAGTTTTATTTCAGCTAGAGATCACTTTTTAGCATAATGTTTCCTGTCTTTAACAATGGGTGAGGGTTTTTTTTTTTTTTTTTTTGGTTTGGTTTGGATTTTGGTTTTGCTTTTGAGTCGAAGTTTCACTCTTGTCTCCCAGGCTAGAGTGCAATGGCGCGATCTCGGCTCACTGTGACCTCCTCCTCCCAGGTTTAAGTGATTCTCCTGCCTCAGCCTCCAGAGTAGCTGGGATTACAGGCGCCTACCACCATGCCCGCTAATTTTTGTATTTTAGTAGAGACAGGGTTTTACCATGTTGACCAGACTGGTCTCGAACTCCCGACCTCAGGTGATCTGCCCACCTCAGCCTCCCAGAGTGCTGGGATTACAGGTGTGAGCAACCATGCCCGGCCAAGGGTTTTTAACTTTAGCTGACCTCCGGAGGTTACAAGTTTGAAAACGGCAGGAGGAAACCCAGAGAGTTGTAAACTTACGAAGGTCTGGGCTCTGAAAAAGATACAAATTTTCTTTCCATGCCAATAGCGCTCACACAGACATGGTGAATGTTCCTGAAACCCGCCGGACTTTCTGTAAGAAGTGTGGCAAGCACCACCCCCACAAAGTGACACAAGGCAAGGATTCTTGGTATGCCCAGGGGAAGTAGTGTTATGACAGGAAGCAGAGTGGCTATGGTGGGCAGACTAAGCCGATTTTCCGGAAAAAGGCTAAAACTACAAAGAAGATTGTGCTAAGGCTTGAGTGCCTTGAGCCCAACTGCAGATCTAAGAATGCTGGCTATTAAAAGATACAAGCAGCCAAGCGCGGTGGCTCACGCCTGTAATCCCAACACTTTGGGAGGCCGAGGTGGGCGGATCACAAGGTCAGGAGTCTGAGACCAGCCTGGCCAAAATGGTGAAACCCCATCTCTACTAAAAATACAAAACTTAGCTGGGCATGGTGGTGTATGCCTATAGTCCCAGCTACTCAGGAAGCTGAGGCAGGAGAATCGCTTGAACCTGGGAGGCAGAGGTTGCAGTGAGCCAAGATTGTGCCACTCCAGCCTGGGCAACAGAGTGACACTCTGTCTCAAAAAAAAAAGATGCAAGCATTTTGAACTGGAAGGAGATAAGAGAAAGGAACAAGTGATCCAGTTCTAAGTGTCATCTTTTCTTTTATGAAGGCAATAAAATCTTGAGCTTATGGTAAAATGCAAAATTTTCCCCCCTTCTCCTTTTTCAGAAGCAGCTTTGAAATCCTTTAATAAAAGGAAGCCTCTATCATTAGGTAAGTTACCTCATTTATAACTTTTATTCTTCATGTGAGATCTGGGGACTCGGGCCTTTGTTTTAAGGAGAATGTGCTGAGCACTAAGAATGCAAAGAAATGCCGGACTTAGCATCCCTGCTCCCAGGGCGGAGCTGGTCTCGCAGGTGCGTAGCAGTAAGACCTGGGAAGCTGAAACACGATCGCGTTTGTTGGAAATCTATAAATACATACAAAGCGGGGAAGGGTAAGCTTGGCCTTTGAATCTGGATAAGCTAGAGACTTTTCTTTTTTGAGATGGAGGCTTGCTCTGTCACCTAGGCTGAAGTGCAGTGGTACGACCTCGGCTGACTGCAACCTCTACCTCCTGGGTTCAAGCAGTTCTCCTGCCTCAGCCTCTAGAATAGCTGGGATTACAGGTACCTGCCACCAGGCCCGGCTAATTTTTTGTGGTGTTTGTAGAGATGGGGTTTCACCATGATGGCCAGGCTGGTCTTGAACTCCTGACCTCAAGTGATCTGCCCACCTCAGCGTCCCAAAATGCTGGGATTATGGGCATGAGCCACCACCACACCCGGTTTTGTTTTTTTTTTTTTTTTTTTTTTTTGAAACAGGGCTTCACTCTGTCACTTAGGCTGGAGTGGTGCAATCATGGTTCACTGCAGCCTTGACCTCCCAAGCTCTGGTGATCCTCCTGCCTCAGCCTCCTGAGTAGCTGGGACCACAGGCACTTGCCACCATGCCTGGCTAATTTTTTTCACTTTTTGTAGAGACAGGGTCTTGCTATGTTGCCCAGGCTGGCCTCGAATTACTAAACTCAATCAGTCCTCCTGCCTCACCCTCCCAAACTGCTGGGGTACAGGTGTGAGCCATGACACCTGGCCCTTACCAGCTACTTATATCCTGAAGATTATTATTATTTTTTATTTTTTGAGATAGAGTCTCTCTCTGTTGCCCAGGCTGGAGTGCAGTGGCGTGATCTCGGCTCACTGCAAGCTCCGCCTCCCGGGTTCATGCCATTCTCCTGCCTCAGCCTCCCGAGTAGCTGGGACTACAGGCGCCCACCACCACGCCTGGCTAATTTTTTTGTGTTTTTAGTAGAGACGGGGTTTCACCGTGTTAGCCAGGATGGTCTCAATCTCCTGACCTTGTGATCCGCCCGCCTCGGCCTCCCAAAGTGCTGGGATTACAGGCGTGAGCCACCGCGCCCGGCCCCTGAAGATTGTGTTTTGAGATGGGGTCTTGCTGTGTTGCTCCGGCTTGATTGCAGTGGCACAGTCATAGCTCATTGCAGCCTCAACCTTCCAGGCTCCAGAGATCCTCTTACCTCAGCCTCCTGAGTAGCTGGGACTACAGGTGTGCACTGCCACACCTGACTAATATTTGTATTTTTGGTAGGGACAGTTTCACTATGTTGCCAGATATGGTGTCAAACTCCTGGTCTCAAGTGATCCTCCCACCTTGGCCTCCCAAAGTGCTGGGATTACAGACATGATTCACCACACCTGGCCATGAAGACTTTTTTTTTTTGGACAAAGTCTCACTCTGTTGCCCAGGATGGAATGCAGTGGCATGATCTCAGCTCACTGCAACCTCTGACCTCCGCCTCCCGGTTCAAGTGATTCTCTTGCCTCAGCCTCCCGAGTAGCTGGGATTATAGGTGTCTGCCACCAAGCCCAGCTAATTTTTGTAATTTTAGTAGAGATGGGGTTTCACCATGTTGGCCAGGCTGGTCTTGAACTCCTGACCTCGTGATCCACGTGCCTCAGCCTCCCAAAGTGTTGGGATTACAGGTGTGAGTCACTGCGCCTGGTCTCATGAAGACCTTTTTTGAGACAGAGTCTTGCTCTGTCACCCAGGCTGGAGTGCAGTGGTACAATCTCACTGCAGCCTCCGCCTCCCAGGTTCAAGTGATTCTCCTGCCTTAGCCTCCCAAGTAGCTGGGATTACAGGCGCCTACCACCACGTCTGGCTAATTTTTGTATTTTTAGTAGAGACAGGGTTTCACCATGTTGGCCAGGCTGGTCTCAAACTGCTGACCTCAAATGAACTGTCTGCCTCAGCCTCACAAAGTACTGGGATTACAGGCATGAGCCACCTCACCTGGTGGTGAAGACTCTAAAGGCTCTTCTCAGATCAGCCTTTGTCCTGAATTTCACATGCCCGTGTCCAGTTCCCTCCCCAGCATCTTTTCAGGAGTTCCATGGACTCACCTCTTCATTATCCAGGGTTAAGCTGCAGATATTGTTATTAGGATTCCACCTTGTTCTCTCTTTTTTTTTTTTTTTTTTTTTTTTTTGATACGGAGTCTCGCTTGCTCTTTTGCCAGGCTGAAGTGCAGTGGAGCGATCTTGGCTCACTGCAATCTCCGCCTCCTGGGTTCAAGCAATTCCCTTGCCTCAGCCTCGCAAGTAGCTGGGACTTACAGGTAACACACCACCATGCCCGGCTAATTTTTTGTTTTAGTAGAGACGGGGCTTCACCATGTTGGCCGGGATGGTCTCGATCTCCTGACCTCATGATCCGCCTGCCTTGGCCTCCCAAAGTGTTGGGTTACAGGCATGAGCCACCATGCCCGGCTGATTCCACCTTGTTCTTACATTCTTTCCCAGTTCATTTTAAATTTATCTACCTCATCAGAAACTAGGGGGTTAGGCCTGGCAGGCAGATCACCTGAGGTTGGGAGTTCGAGACCAGCCTGACCAACGTAGAGAAACCCTGTCTGTACTAAAAATACAAAATTAGCCAGGTATGGTGGCACATTCCTGTAATCCCAGCTACTCCGGAGGCCGAGGCAGGAGAATCACTTGAACCCAGGAGGCGGAGGTTACAGTGAGCCGACATCACACCATTGCATTCCAGCCTGGGCAACAAGAGCAAAACTACATCTCAAAAAAAAAGAAAAACTAGGCAGTTAATCCTCAAAGCCTTTCCAGTGGCCTTATGCGTGAGTAGTTTGTGTGTGTGTGTGTGTGTGTGTGTGTGTGTGTGTGTGTGTCTTTCACACCATGTGTTCTGAACTACTTAGGAATTCTCACCAGAAAGGCACATAAACCTGGGATCATGGCCTAATGTACTTTCACTTTTACATCCAGTACCTTATCAACGTCCTTTTTAGTACCTAATCTAGGCTTCACTACTGAGACTCAGGGGTCCAACTTGAGCCATCTTGGAGTCCCACTGCCAGCACAGCAACAGGCCTGTAATGCCGCCCTTTTTCTCCAGGGATAACACGGAAAGAACGACCACCTCTAGACGTGGACGAAATGCTGGAGCGCTTCAAAACAGAAGCACAAGGTGGGTGTCAGGACCTCCAATGTTGGAGTCAGCTGAGGAAGCCCCCCGTTCTTGCTGCTATCTCCTGTTCCTTTGAAGAACCCCATCTCTCTCCAATCTTTTCCTCCACTATTCTTAATGTGCCCACTGTCTCCTGGAGAATGCCAACCTCCCTTCCGTAAGAATAGAGGGAAGAACGAACGTTGCAGAGAATTAGAACTCAGTTTGTAGAAAGTTAGGAGCACAGCGCAGAGAGTTTTTGTTTTTGTTTTTGTTTTGAGACAGTTTCTCTGTTGGCCAGGTTGGAATGCAATGGCGCGATCTCGGCTCACTGTAACCTCCACCTCCCAGGTTCAAGCGATTCTCCTGATTCTCCTGACTCAGCCTCCTGAGTAGCTGGGATTATAGGCACCTGCCACCACACCCAGCTAATTTTTTTTTTTTTTTTTGAGACGAAGTCTTGTTCTTGTCACCCAGGCTGGAGTATAGTGGCACCATCCCTGTTCACTGCAACCTCCGCCTCCCAGATTCAAGTGATTGTCCTGTCTCAGCCTCCTGAGTAGCTGGGACTACAGGTGCATGCCACCACGCCCAGCTAATTTTTTTTTGTACTTTTAGTAGAGACAGGTTTCACCATCTCATTCAGGGTGGTCTCAAACTCCTGACCTCAAGAGATCTGCTCCACCCACCCCCAAGTCTCCCGAAGTGCTGGGATTACAGGCGAGAGCCACCGTACCCGGCCTTCTTTAAATTATTTAAAAGTTGACAGGTGGCCAGGTGTGGTGGCTCTCACCTATAATCTCCCAGCACTTTGGGAGGCTGAGGCGGGTGGATCAAGAGATCGAGACCATCCTGGCCAACATGGTGAAACCCAACTCTACTAAAAACACAAAAATTAGCCGGGTGTGGTGGCACCCGCCTGTAGTCCCAGCTACTCAGGAGGCTGAGGCAGGAGAATCGCTTGAACCCGGGAGGTGGAGGTTGCAGTGAGCCAAGATTGTGCCACTGCACTCCAGCCTGGCAACAGTGCGAGACTCCATCTTAAAAAAAAAAAAAAAAATTGACAGGCATAAATGTATTTATGGTACATTGCTCAGACAACTTTAATATAAACAACTTACAGAGAAAATTGAGTCTTTTGGGTAGGTGACTTGCCTGAGCTGACTTTGTGATAGGTTTTTTCTGTTTTTTTTGTTTTTGAAATAGAGTCTCACTCTGTCATGCAGGCTGGAGTGCAGTGGCCCCATCTTGGCTCACTGCAATCTCTGCCTCCTGGGTTCAAGGGGTCTTCCTGCCACAGCCTCCCCAGGTGCTGGGACTATAGGTGCCCACCACTATGCCTGGCTAACTTTTGTGTTTTTAGTACAGATGGGGTTTCAACAGGGTAGCCAGGTTGGTCTAGAACTCCTGACCTCAAGTG
The DNA here is from genome assembly GCF_000001405.40 of Homo sapiens. Taxonomy (NCBI): domain Eukaryota; kingdom Metazoa; phylum Chordata; class Mammalia; order Primates; family Hominidae; genus Homo; species Homo sapiens. Next base: position 881,975 of record NW_003571060.1, read on the forward strand.
ATCCACCTACCTCGGTCTCCTAAAGTGCTGGGATTACAGCTGTGAACCACCGCACCTAGCCTGTGATCAGTTTCAGATCAGCCTTGCTTACTCCACATTCCCTCTTATCTTCCTGGTAGCATTTTTGTTTTTTCTTGAGAAAGAGTTTTGCCCTTGTCGCCCAGGCTAGAGTGCAATGGTGTGATCTCGGCTCGCCACAACCTCCACCTCCCAGGTTCAAGTGATTCTGCCTCAGCCTCCCGAGTAGCTGGGATCATAGGCGCCCACCACCACATCTGGCTAATTTTTGCATTTGTTAGTTTTATTTTTAGTAGACAGGGTTTCACCATGTTGGGCAGGCTGGTCTTGAACTCCTGACCTCAGGTGATCCACCCACTTCAGCCTCCCAAAGTGCTGGGATTACAGGCATGAGCCACCGTACCTAGCCCACATTGACTTTTGATACAGCAAGTATTTCTTGCTATGGCTCTGTATAATAGAGGTGAGTAACTTGGTTGAAGGAATTGTTTGCCCTGTTCATCTCTCTAGACACGGCCAATGTCATTCCTGGCACACAATCTTTTTTTTTCTTGAGATGGAGTCTCACTCTGTTGCCCAGACTGGAGTGCAGTGGTGCAATCTTGGCCCACTGCAACCTCTGCTACCCAGGTTCAAGCGATTCTCCTGCCTCAGCCTCCCAAATAGCTGGGAGTACAGGTGTGTGCCACCACGCCCAGCTAATTTTTTGTATTTTAGTAGAGACAGGGTTTCACCGTGTTAGTCAGGATGGTCTGGATCTCCTAACCTCGTGATCCGTCCGCCTCAGCCTCCCAAAGTGCTGGGATGACAGGCGTGAGCCACTGTGCCCAGCCTAGCACACAATCTTGACAAAGAATTTCGGTGCGACTTGGGGTACTGTGGTGCCTGCTCTATCATCATGCTTCAGCAGGAAATGTGGGTGAATAGTGCCTGGTGGCATGGCAGGTAAAGAAATGTTTTGTTTTGTTTTTTTTTTGAGACAGTCTTGCTCTGTCACCCAAGCTGGAGTGCAGTGGCGCAATCTCGGCTCACTGCAAGCTCCATCTCCCGGGTTCACGCCATTCTGCCTCAGCCTCCCCAGTAGTTGGGACTACAGGCGCCCGCCACACGCCCGGCTAATTTTTTGTATTTGTAGTAGAGACAGGGTTTCACCGTGTTAGCCAGGATGGTCTCGATCTCCTGACCTTATGATCCACCCGCCTTGGCCTCCCAAAGTGCTGGGATTACAGGCGTGAGCCACCGCGCCCAGCCGCGGGTAAAGAAATTTATGAAGACAATCGTAGGTAAAGGAAGGCAGATTTATTGGAGAAAGTAGGAAAAGACATTGGCAGAGAGACCCCAGCGGGCAGGTTGTCATGAGTAGCTCACTGCCAGGAGACCAAAGCTTCCTGCAGATTTTATAGAATAGGGCTTGGGCTGATTGATAATGTCAACAGGGGGTTTAACTTGCGGTCTTCTTTCAGCAGAAGTGTTTGATAAACTGAGGCGTTTCATGGCAAACAGGGAGTTTGTGAGCTCTGTGTGTGATCTGGCCAGGAAGGCCAAACATCTTGGGCCGTATCTCCTGGACCATAAAAGCAGACCTGGCCCAGTGCAGTGGTTCATGCCTGCAATCCCAGCACTTTGGGAGGCTGAGGTGGGTGGATCATCTGAGGTCAGCAGTTTTAGACTGGCCTGGCCAACATGGCGAAACCCCATCTCTACTAAAAATACAAAAATTAGCCTAGACGCAGTGGCACATGCCTGTAATTCCAGTTACTTGGGAAGCTGAGGCAGGAGAATCGCTTGAACCCGGGAGGCGGAGGTTGCAGTGAGCTGAGATTGCGCCACTGCACTCCAGCCTGGGCAACAGAGTGAGACTGTCTCAAACAGACCTATAGCTGACCTGTTTCCTCTTGTTTGTATGCCCTGAACCATGGAGGAAAGCTTATTTATTTATTTTATTGAGATGGAGTCTTGCTCTGTTGCCCAGGGTGGAGTGCAGTAGTGCGATCTCTTACTACAACCTCCATCTCCCAGGTTCAAGCAATTCTCGAGCCTCTTGGCCTCCCAAGTAGCTGAGATTACAGGCATGCGCCACCACGCCTGGCTAATTTTTGCATTTTTAGTAGAGATGGGGTTTCTGTGTTGGCCAGGCTGGTCTCGAACTCCTGAGCTCAAGTGATCCACCCCACCTCAGCCTCCCAAAGTTCTGGGATTATAGGCATGAGCCACCACACCTGGCCGGAAAACACATTTGTAGCTTATTTGCTTTATCTGATCCCGTGCCCCCCCTCCCCCCCGCCCCATCAGCCTGCCTCCTTTTCTCTAATTGGGACTCCACAGGAAATACACCTGATTTTGTGTCAATCTCACATGAGTTTGTATTTTGTAGCGTTTACAGAAACGAAAGGAAATGTCATCTGCCTGGGTAAAGAAGTCTTTAAAGGAAAAAAGCCAGGTCTGTACCATATCTTCCTGCAGGGAGCTTGGGATCAGATTTCTCTTTATAAACTTGAAGTCCTCTTAACTTTCCTATGTAACACAAAGCATTTATTTATGTATGTATGTATCGAGACGGAGTTTTGCTCTTGTTGCCCAGGCTGGAGTGCCGTGGCGTGATCTCGACTCACTGCAACCTCCGCCTCCCAGGTTCAAGCAATTCTCCTGCCTCAGCCTCCCGAGTAGCTGGGATTACAGGCATGCGCCACCATGACTGGCTAATTTTTTATTTTTAGTAGAGACAAGGTTTCTTCATGTTGGTCAGGCTGGTGTTGAACTCCCAATGTCAGGTGATCTGCCTGCCTCGACCTCCCAAAGGGCTGGGATTACAGGCATGAGCCACTGTGCCTGGCCAACACAAGGCATTTTGTTATTTTGGTTTTCCCTATGGGTAACTGATTGCATCCTCTCTCCCTTCCCTCCTCACCAATGATAAAGACAAAGACAATAGGTGCAGGTATATATTGAAGACGAAGTTCCGGGAGATGTGGAAGAGCTGGCCTGGAGATAGCAAAGAGGTCCAGGTTATGGCTGAGAGATACAAGATGCTGATCCCATTCAGCAACCCCAGGGTGCTTCCCGGGCCCTTCTCATACACGGTGGTGCTGTATGGTCCTGCAGGCCTTGGGAAAACCACGCTGGCCCAGAAACTAATGCTAGACTGGGCAGAGGACAACCTCATCCACAAATTCAAATATGCGTTCTACCTCAGCTGCAGGGAGCTCAGCCGCCTGGGCCCGTGCAGTTTTGCAGAGCTGGTCTTCAGGGACTGGCCTGAATTGCAGGATGACATTCCACACATCCTAGCCCAAGCACGGAAAATCTTGTTCGTGATTGACGGCTTTGATGAGCTGGGAGCCGCACCTGGGGCGCTGATCGAGGACATCTGCGGGGACTGGGAGAAGAAGAAGCCGGTGCCCGTCCTCCTGGGGAGTTTGCTGAACAGGGTGATGTTACCCAAGGCCGCCCTGCTGGTCACCACGCGGCCCAGGGCCCTGAGGGACCTCCGGATCCTGGCGGAGGAGCCGATCTACATAAGGGTGGAGGGCTTCCTGGAGGAGGACAGGAGGGCCTATTTCCTGAGACACTTTGGAGATGAGGACCAAGCCATGCGTGCCTTTGAGCTAATGAGGAGCAACGCGGCCCTGTTCCAGCTGGGCTCGGCCCCCGCGGTGTGCTGGATCGTGTGCACGACTCTGAAGCTGCAGATGGAGAAGGGGGAGGACCCGGTCCCCACCTGCCTCACCCGCACGGGGCTGTTCCTGCGTTTCCTCTGCAGCCGGTTCCCGCAGGGCGCACAGCTGCGGGGCGCGCTGCGGACGCTGAGCCTCCTGGCCGCGCAGGGCCTGTGGGCGCAGACGTCCGTGCTTCACCGAGAGGATCTGGAAAGGCTCGGGGTGCAGGAGTCCGACCTCCGTCTGTTCCTGGACGGAGACATCCTCCGCCAGGACAGAGTCTCCAAAGGCTGCTACTCCTTCATCCACCTCAGCTTCCAGCAGTTTCTCACTGCCCTGTTCTACACCCTGGAGAAGGAGGAGGAAGAGGATAGGGACGGCCACGCCTGGGACATTGGGGACGTACAGAAGCTGCTTTCCGGAGTAGAAAGACTCAGGAACCCCGACCTGATCCAAGCAGGCTACTACTCCTTCGGCCTCGCTAACGAGAAGAGAGCCAAGGAGTTGGAGGCCACTTTTGGCTGCCGGATGTCACCGGACATCAAACAGGAATTGCTGCGATGCGACATAAGTTGTAAGGGTGGACATTCAACGGTGACAGACCTGCAGGAGCTGCTCGGCTGTCTGTACGAGTCTCAGGAGGAGGAGCTGGTGAAGGAGGTGATGGCTCAGTTCAAAGAAATATCCCTGCACTTAAATGCAGTAGACGTTGTGCCATCTTCATTCTGCGTCAAGCACTGTCGAAACCTGCAGAAAATGTCACTGCAGGTAATAAAGGAGAATCTCCCGGAGAATGTCACTGCGTCTGAATCAGACGCCGAGGTTGAGAGGTGAGAACCGTTTCACTCTACCAGTCGTTCCATCTTTAGCCTCATCCCATGCCCCCTTAGGAAGAGGCCAGAGCCTCCTATGCACTGTGGCTTAGGGTCAGGAATTCCCTCTTGTTGGGCTCTTTGTTTGTTTTTGTTTTGAGATGGAGTCTTGCTCTGTCGCTCAGGCTGGAGCGCAGTGGCGCGATCTTGGCTCACTGCAACCTCCGCCTCCCGGGTTCAAGTGATTCTTCTGCCTCAGCCTCCTGAGTAGCTGGGACTACAGGCGCCTGCCACCTTGCCCAGCTAATTTTTATATTTTCATTAGAGACGGGATCTCAGCATGTTGGCCAGTCTGGTCTTGAACTCCGCCTGACCTCAGGTGATCCACCTGCCTCAGCCTCCCAAAGTGGGATTACAGGCATGATTCACCATGCCCGGCCCAAATATATTTTTTTAAGACAGGGTCTTGCTGTGTTGCTCAGGCTGGAGTACAGTGGTGAAATCAGCTCACTGCAGCCTCAAACTTCTGGGTTCAAGTGATGTTCCTGAGTACCTGGGATGACAGGTATTAAGTGTGCACCATCATGCCCAGCTAACTTAAGTGGGGGTTTTTTTTGTGTGTGTGTTTTTTTTTTTTTTTTTTTTTTTTTTTTTTTTTTTTTTTTTGGAAAGACAAAATCTCACTATGTTGTCCAGGCTGGTCTTGAACTCCCAAAGCACTGAGATTACAGGCATGAGTTACCACACGCCCTGCCTGAATATTTCTTATTGATATGTATAGATATGTATATTCCCAATCTTTTTTTTTTTTTTTTTTTTTTTTTGAGACGGAGTTTCACTCTTTTTCCCAGGTCGGAGTGAAGTGGCTCGATCTCGGCTCACTGCAACCTCCGCCCCACCAGGTTCAATGATTCTCCTGCCTCAGCCTCATGAGTAGCTGGGATTACAGCCACCCACGACCATGCCCAGCTAATTTTTGTACTTTTAGTAGAGACGGGGTTTCACCATGTTGGCCAGGCAGGTCTCGAACTCCCGACCTCAGGTGATCCACCCGCCTCAGCCTCACAAAGTGCTAGGATTATAGGCGTGAGTCACCGTGCCCGGTCTATATTCTCTATCTTTTATCAATGATGTGCTTAGCATTTTAACTTATTTTTACCCTCTATTGGATTTTTGTCTAAGAAGAATAGGTTCTTTCTCCTGTGATGCTTCTTGGGTGTTGAGTTGTCTGATGGTGGTGCTAATAAGTGATTACATGGTCCAGCTTTCAATTGTACTCATTTGTCAGGGGTATATGCCCAGAGAAACCCTAAATACTTCAGCCGTGATGGACACACATTTGGTGTAACCCTTTCTTCTCTTCCCTATAGATCCCAGGATGATCAGCACATGCTTCCTTTCTGGACGGACCTTTGTTCCATATTTGGATCAAATAAGGATCTGATGGGTCTAGCAATCAATGATAGCTTTCTCAGTGCCTCCCTAGTAAGGATCCTGTGTGAACAAATAGCCTCTGACACCTGTCATCTCCAGAGAGTGGTGTAAGTAGAAACTAATTCATGAACTCAAATCCTTAGGGTATGAAAATGGTACAATGTTAACATCGGAGCAATATTCAGATTCCTGTACTAGACTCTTAAGTGCTCGAGACACAGGGAATTGAGAGAGTCCTGTCCTTAAATTTATTTTGTGGGATAATCGTATAAAGTAATTTCTAGGGGCTGGGCATGGTGGTTCACACTTGTAATTCCAACACTTCGGGAGGCCGAGGCAGACAGATCACTTGAGGTCAGGAGTTCGAGACCAGCCTGGCCAACGTGACAAAACCCTGCCTCTACTAAAAATACAAAAATTATCCAGGCGTGGTGGCAGGCACCTGTAATATCAGCTACTTGGGAGGCTGAGGCAGGAGAATTACTTGAACCCAGGAGGCGGAGGTTGCAGTGAACCGAGATCCTGCCACTGGACTCCAGTCTGAGTGACAGAGCGAGACTCCGTCTCAAAAAAAAAAAAAAAAAAAAAGAAAAAGAAAAAAAGGGCCGGGCACAATGGCTCACGCCTGTAGTCCCAGCACTTTGGGGGCCCAAGGTGGGGGGATCACTTGAGGTCAGGAGTTCAAGACCAGCCTGGCCAAGATGGTGCAAGACCCTGTCTCTACGAAAAATACAAAAATTTGCCAGGTGTCGTGGCAGGTGCCTATAATCCCAGCTACTCCGGATGCTGAGGGTAGGAGTCGCTTGAATCCGGGAGGCAGAGTTTGCTTTGCAGTGAGCCGAGATCGCGCCACTGCACTCCAGCCTGGGCAACAGAGTGAGACTCCATCTCAAAGAAAAAAAAAATCTGTAAAGATGGACAAAAATTTAAACATGGAAAAAATAGTTCCTAAAGTTTAAATATATCGAGCCCCTGGTTTCCATTTAAGTACGATACAGGTGTACACACTAAAGATTTCACTTTCGTTTTCTTTTCCCTAGGTTCAAAAACATTTCCCCAGCTGATGCTCATCGGAACCTCTGCCTAGCTCTTCGAGGTCACAAGACTGTAACGTATCTGACCCTTCAAGGCAATGACCAGGATGATATGTTTCCCGCATTGTGTGAGGTCTTGAGACATCCAGAATGTAACCTGCGATATCTCGGGTATATCTCTTAATCATTAAAATCCTTCATCATACAAACATAAGCTACCACAAGCTTATGTGGCAATTTTGTGTAAATAAGAAAAAGTTCGTTATTCTGACTAGAAACAGTACTAAGGGCAGATGACCCAGGATGCAGCATGAGCTGAACTTGAGTTTCCACTTGCCTTGAACAGTAAACACCCTGGACAACCATACGTGAGGACCCTGAATCCAAAGAAACTCCCAGAATCTTTATCATCTTTTTTTTTTTTTTTTATGGAGTCTTGCTCTGTTGCCCAGGCCAAAGTGCAATGGCACGATCTTGGCTCACTGCAACCTCTGTCTCCTGGGTTCAAGTAATTCTGCTGCCTCAGCCTCCCAAGTTGCTGGGATTACAGGCACCCGCCACCACGCCCGGCTAATTTTTGTGCATTTAGTGGAGCTGGTTTCGCCACATTGCCAGGCCGGTCTCGAACTCATGACCTCAGGTGACCTGCCCTCCTCAGGCTCCCAAAGTGCTGGGATTATAGGCATGAGCCACCATGCCCAGCCAGAGTCCTTATGTTTTGGTTTTGGTTTTGGTTTTTTCTTTTTCTTTTTTCTTTTTGAGATGGAGTCTCGCTCTGTCACCCAGGCTGGAGTGCGTTGGTATGATCTCAGGTCACTGCAGCCTCCACCTCCCAGGTTCAAGTGATTCTCCTGCCTCAGCCTCCTGAGTAGCTGGGATTACAGGTGCACACCACCACACCTGGTTAATTTTTGTATTATTAGTAGAGATGGAGTTTTACCACATTGGCCAGGCTGGTCTCGAACTCATGACCTCAGGTGATCTACCCCCCCACCCCCACCCCACCCCGCCGTCGGCCTCCCAAAGTGAGGCATGAGCCACCGTGCCCAGCCCAGAATCTTTATCTTCTATCAGAGATCATTCACTCATGGTTCATGCTTCTCCTGTATGATGATTCAGAATACCAGCTATTGACATTTTTCAAGCAAGAACCCTTCAGGAACATCAAGTTGCCCCTTTTCTGTTAGTCCTCTGGTTTGAGAGCTCTCCCCTTGGGAAGCTGTCCAGTGGCTACCCAGGCGATGAGAACCTACATGCATCATGGGGTTCCATGAAGCCTCACTTGGCCACACTGGTGTAGTAGGTGGTCATTGGCCTCAAATTATTGCCCTGGGCCAGGCGCAGTGGCTCACGCCTGGGAGGCCGAGGTGGGTGGATCACTTGAGGTCAGGAGTTCAAGACCGGCCTGGTCAACATGGTGAAACTCTGTCTCTACTAATAATACAAAAATTAGCTGGGCATGTTGGCGCACGCCTGTAGTCCCAGCTACTCAGGAGGCTGAGGCAGGAGCATCATTTGAACCTGAGAGGCGGAGGTTGCAGTGAGCTGAGATCACACCACCGCACTCCAGTCTGGGCAACAGTGTGAGACTGTCTCAAAAAAAAAAAATAAAAATCTTGGCTGGGTGCGGTAGCTCATGCCTGTAATCCCAGCACTTTGGGAGGCCAAGGCAGGTGGATCACAAGGTCAGGAGTTCAAGACCAGCCTGGCCAACATGGTGAAACCCCACGTCTACTAAAAATACAAAAACATTAGCTGGGCATGGTGGCGCGTGCCTGTAATCCCAGCTACTCATGGAGGCTGATGCAAGAGAATTGCTTGAACCTAGGAGGCAGAGGTAGCAGTGAGCCAAGATCACGCCATTGCACTCCAGCCTGGGCAACAGAGCAAAACTCCATCTCGAGGACAGAAAAAAAATTGATTGCTCTGGCTCTACTGATACAATCTTAGGCTGCTTAATGGGATCTTAGTTGAATAGGATGCTGTACATCTTACAGGTATTGGAAGGTTGAATGAAACCAAGCCCATGCATTCAATAGTGGCTGCTATCATTACTAACCGTTGCAATTACCCTCTTTTCTTTTTGCCTGAGAATAATGGGATGCAGGGTGAGGGGGAATATTGGGTGAATTAAAGATTTGGGTCACTAATTTCTTTCTTTTTTTCTCAAGATATAGTCTTGCTCTGTCTTCTAGGCTGGAGTGCAGTGCCACAATCTTGGTTCACTGCAACCTCTGCCTCCCGGGTTCAAGTGATTCTTCTCCGTCAACCTCCCAAGTAGCTGGGATTACAGGCACCCACCTGTATTTTTGTATTTCTAGTATTTTGTATTTCTAGTAGAGACAGGGTTACGCCATGCTGGTGGCCAGGGTGGTCTCAAACTCCTGACCTCGGGCAATCCACCACACCCAGCTAATTTTTGGTATATTTAGTAGAGCCGGGGTTTCACCGTGTTGGCTGGGCTGGTCTCGAACTCCTGACCTCAAGTGACATCCATCTTCCAAAATGCTGGGATTACAGCCATGTGCCACCACGCCCAGCTAATTCTTGTATTTTTAGGAGAAATGGGGTTTCATCATGTTGTTCCGGCTGGTCTTAAACTCCTGGCCTCATGATCCACCTGCCTTGGCCTGCCAAAGTCCTGGGATTACAGGCATGAGCCACTGTGCCCAGCCACTCATTTCTTATGAATTTATTCTAACACATTTTCCGGATGAACAGGGCACCTTGAAACATAGGTTAGTGGGCTGGGTATGGTGGCTTCTGCCTGTAATCCCAGTACTTTGGGAGGCCTAGGCTGGTGTATCGCTTGAAGTCAGGAGTTTTTTGTTTTGAGACGGAGTCTTGCTCTGTCGCCCAGGCTAGAGTGCAGTGGAGTGATCTCGGCTTACTGCAACCTCCGCCTCCTGGGTTCAAGTGATTCTCTTGCCTCAGCCTCCTGAGTAGCTGGGACTACAGGCACGTGTCGCCACGCCCATCTAACTTTTGTATGTTTAGTAGAGCCGGGGTTTCACCATGTTGGCCAGGATGGTCTCAAACTCCTGACCTCCTGATCTGCCCACCTCGGCCTCCCAAAGTGCTGGGATTACAGGCATGAGCCATTGCCCCGGCCAAAGTTAGGAGTTTGAGACCAGCCTGGCCAACATGGTAAAACCCCATCTCTACTAAAAAATACAAAAATTAGCCAGGCAAGATGGCATTTGCCTGTAATCCCAGCTACTCAGGAGGCTGAGGCGGGAGAATCTCTTGAATCTAGGAGGCAGAGGTTGCTGTGAGCTGAGATCGCGCCACTACACTCCAGCCAGGGCGACAGAGCATAAATAACTCCCTTTCAAAAAACCAAACAATGAAACATAGGTTAGCGGAGTCTGCATCCAACATTAGAGTCAGATTGACTAAGTTCTGTATTTCCAGCTGATTCCTGGGCGATGTTGGTGCCACTGGTCTGACCACCCTTTGACAACTGCTGCTCCAGATAATTCAAGTCGGGGTATAACACAACCAGTGAGATGTAAACCAAAGACGATTCCACGGTTAGATTCTCAAGAATGACTTGTTCTGCCGGGCGCGGTGGCTCACGCCTGTCATCCCAGCACTCTGGGAGGCCGAGGTGGGCAGATCACCTGAGATTGGGAGTTTGAGACCAGCCTGACCAACATGGAGAGACCCCCACCTCTACTGAAAATACAAAATTAGCTGGGCATGGTGGTGCATGGTGCATGCCTGCAGTCCCAGCTACTCGGGAGGCTGAGGCAGGAGAATCACTTGAACCCAGGAGGCGGAGGTTGCTGTGAGCCGAGATTGCACCACCTGGGCAACAAGAGTGAGACTCAGTCTCAAAAAAAAAAAAAAAAATGACGTGGTCCTATTTCTCCCACAGGTTGGTGTCTTGTTCCGCTACCACTCAGCAGTGGGCTGATCTCTCCTTGGCCCTTGAAGTCAACCAGTCCCTGACGTGCGTAAACCTCTCCGACAATGAGCTTCTGGATGAGGGTGCTAAGTTGCTGTACACAACTTTGAGACACCCCAAGTGCTTTCTGCAGAGGTTGTCGTAAGTCTCTCCTCTCTTCCAGAGCAGCTGTGCTTTCGATCTGGGGCCACAGACGAGCAATGGTCATGCCTGACTTGGCTGTATGGAACCTCTCGCTGATGTGAACACCTGTTCCCATGTTTAGATCCAGGCCGATGGCCTGTGAATTTTGTTCTTCTCTCATTCCTATTCCTTCATAGGATCACCAGTGCATGATAGAAGGTGGGGAGTTCACAAGAAGGGGCTTTTGGATGCTGGCACTTGTGGAGCTAGCCGGGAAGGTTGAAGTTGGACATGTCAACCGTGTTGCCATTTGTGATTCTTTTCTAGGTTGGAAAACTGTCACCTTACAGAAGCCAATTGCAAGGACCTTGCTGCTGTGTTGGTTGTCAGCCGGGAGCTGACACACCTGTGCTTGGCCAAGAACCCCATTGGGAATACAGGGGTGAAGTTTCTGTGTGAGGGCTTGAGGTACCCCGAGTGTAAACTGCAGACCTTGGTGTAAGTCCGTGCTGGCTGCCTGTGTGCGTGGGTGTATATGCACACGCCCCCCACCTCCGGGTTTGAGTAGGGTGGTTATGAGAACACTTAATTCCTCTAAAAGTTCCAAGCATGATGCTAATGACAACTGGTAAGACCTGGGTAGATGATGGTAGGAAAAAAGTATAAGTAGTAGTAGAGTAGTAGTAATATTCTATAGGGATTTGGGGAATGTAGCTGGTTTTCGGGTTTTTTTTTTTCCTCTTTATGTATGTATGTATTTTAGAGATGGGATCTCGCCGTGTTGCCTAGGCTGGTCTCAAACTCCTGAGCTCAAGAGATCTGCCTGCCTTGGCCTCCCAAAGTGCTAGAATTACAGGCATGAGCCATGTCACCCCATGCTGTGTTTTCTCTTAATCTGTGTTCTTAGAACTATAACTGTAACATAAATTGCACGCAATTGGTTGTAAATGGAATCATTTACTTATTTTTTAATGAATGATTTGCAAATCAGGTAGTCTTCTGGGCCAGTGTACGCTCAGACTCCCAATGGAAGCTATTGGAAGCTACATGCTCAATGTGATCCTCCTGTTAATACTAAAATCACAGGACACGTGGCCTGGCATAGTGGCTCACGCCTATAATCCCATCACCTTGGGAGGCCGAAGCAAGGCAGATCCCTTGAGGGCAGGAGTTCAAGACCAGCCTGCCCAACATGGTGAAACATTGTCTCTCTACTAAAAATACAAAAATTAGTCACGCATGGTGGGACATGCCTGTAATCCCAGTTACTCAGGAGGCTAAGGCAGGAGAATCACTTGAACTTGGGAGGTGGAGGTTGCAGTGAGCTGAGATGGCACCACTGAAGTCCAGTCTGGCCAATAGAGCAAGACTCTCTCAAAAAAAAAAAAATTATAGGACAAATCTTTAGAAAGGAATTGGGGCCTGGCATGGTGGCTCATGCCTGTAATCTCAGCACTTTAGGAGGCGGGCAGAACACCTGAGGTCAGGAGTTTGAGACCAGCCTGGCTGATGCAGTGAAACCCTGTCTCTACTAAAAATACAAAAATTAGCTAGGCGTGGTGGTATGGTCCTGTAATCCCAGCTACTTGGGAGGCTGAGGCAGGAGAATCGCTTGAAGTCGGGAGGTTGCAGTGAGCCGAGATCGTGCCAGCCTGGGTGACAGAACGAGATTGTCTCAAAAAAAAAAAAAAAAATTGTATCTGCACTGATGGTTTCTGTTCAGAGATTCGATTTTATGTTAACATCTCTGGTATTTTTTTTTTTTTTTTAAGATGGAGTTTTACTCTTGCCCATGCTGGCAATGGCATGATCTAGGCTCACTGCAACCTCCGGCTTCAAGGAGGTTGATTCTCCTGCCTCAGCCTCCTGAGTAGCTGGGATTACAGGCACTCACCACCACGCCGGGCTAATTTTTATATTTTTAGTAGAGATGGGATTTCACCATGTTGGCCAGGTTGGTCTCGAACTGACCTCATGATCCGCCCGCCTCAGCCTTCCAAAGTGCTAGGATTTACAGGCATGAGCCACTGCGTCCAGCCATACATATCTCTGGTATTCTTTGTCTCTAACATCACCTCCAACAGTTAGGAACTGTCCTCTTCCTATGAAGTAACTAATCTAGGATATGTACCTGGCATCTGAAAACTACCCACTTAAATTTAATGACATATTCAGTTCATGGCTGGAGACGATGAGTAGAAGGAAAGGATTCTTCCCACACCCACTATATCTAGGCCCTGAAACACTAAAAAAGAAGTCCCACAAGCAGTGAGATGTCACCGACTCACTAACTGTATCTTCAAATGAATGTCTAGTTTTTTTGGTTGTGTGTGTGTGTGGTGTGTGGTGTGTGTGGTATTTTTTTGGGGGGGGGTTTTCTTTTTTTTTTTTTTTGGTTTTTTTTTTTGATAGTCTTGCTCTGTCGCCCAGGCTGGAATGCAGTGGCTCCATCTCAGCTCACTGCAACCTCCACCTCCTGAGTTCAGGTGTGATTCTCCTGCCTCAGCCTCCCAGGGATTAAGGTGCATGCCACCATGCCCAGCTAACTTCTGTATTTTTAGTAGAGACGAGTTTTCACCATGTTGGTCAAGCTGGTCTCGAATTCCTGACCTCAGGTGATCCACCCACCTCAGCCTCCCAAAGTGCTGGGATTACAGGTGTGAGCCACCGTGCCGGCCCCCTCAATTCAACTTTTTGATCCATGCCCCTATTTTGCTAAGTTGTCAACTTCCCTTTAGTCTTATGTGGGTTTTCCTCCATTACAGTCATGGAAGTTTCTAGAAGGCCGGGTAGGGTCTTTGAGAGGCCGAGGCAGGTGGATCATGAGGTCAGGAGTTCAAGACCAGCCTGGCCAACATGGTGAAACCCTGTCTTTACTAAAAATACAAAAATTAGCCAGGCGTGGTGTCGGAGCCTGTAATCCCAGCTTACTTGGGAGGGTGAGGCAGAGAATTGCTTGAACCTGGGAGGCGGAAGTTGCAGTGAGCTGAGATTGTGCCACTGTACTCCAGCCTGGGTGTCAGAGCGAGACTGTCTCAAAAAAAAAAAAAAAAAAGTTTCTATACATTCATAAAGTTTCAAGATTTGGGGGTGTGTTTTCACTTCTCCATCGTCATGGACTCCAATCTGCCATCTATTTCCAAGGCCCTTCCAGGTCCTGTGTCCCTCAGCTAGTGGTATGCTTCACTTGGGACCCAGAGATACATGGGCATTATAGTTCAAATTATAATTAAGTTTAGAACTCTATTGAGACAGAAGAAAGAAAACAGAGCTAAGGTGAAATATCTCTGATAATCTGTGTTGGTTAATATCTAGGATCCTAGTACCAGATATGTTGGAGTGTGAGCTGGTGTCTTCTGCCTGTAAGACACTACCTCTCTAGCAACTGAATTTAGCAAATACAATCGTAATCCCAGCATGTTAGGGAGGCCAGGGTGGGCAGATCATCTGAGGTCGGGAGTTCAAGACCAGCCTGGCCAACATGGGGAAACCCTGTCTCTACTAAAAATACAAAACTTAGCTGGGTGTGGTGGCACGCGCATGTGTGTACACACACACACCCCCCTGTAATCCCAGCTACTCGGAAGGCTGGGGCACAAGAATCGCGTGAAACCAGGAGGCGGAGGTTGAAGTGAGCCACCGTGCCAGCTGAGAATCCTTTTTACTTCTCCAACTTCTGTTGGCCACCTGCATTCCTTGGCTTGTGGCCCTTCCTCCAACTTCGGCAGAGCATCTTCAAACGTTGCCCTGGCTCCCTTATCACGTCACCTCCTGCTGGCTTTGACTCTCAGCTCCCTCTTATGAGGATCCCTGTGATTGCTGGACCTACCCAAATAAACCAGGATATAAACCATCTTAAGATGCTCAGTCACCTCTACGAGGTCCCTTTTGCTCGCAGGTGCCAGGAGTTGGGACTTGGACATCTTTAGGGGAGGCCATTCTTCTGTCCACCACACCACCCCATGATTCCATTTCCATGTCACCACTGTCTCTAAGTGTGTCTAACCCACGGCTCAAGAGTCAAAGGTGCATCACAGCAGTGAGAACTCACAGGTTCGGGTTTGCTTTCTTCCTGTGGTTGATTTCTAGGCTTTGGAACTGCGACATAACTAGCGATGGCTGCTGCGATCTCACAAAGCTTCTCCAAGAAAAATCAAGCCTGTTGTGTTTGGATCTGGGGCTGAATCACATAGGAGTTAAGGGAATGAAGTTCCTGTGTGAGGCTTTGAGGAAACCACTGTGCAACTTGAGATGTCTGTGGTGAGTTAACTTATAAGTTCAACTTCCTATACTTACACCTTACTGAATCTGTGGCTAGTGTAAAATAATCAGTGAAGCCGACTTCCCAAGTTATATAATTGAGAGGACCTTTATAGAGTCGATCGAGCATTTACTAGGATGGTTAAAGGAATAAGTTCTAGTCTATGTCTAAGTTTTTGTTTTTTTTTTTCTTGAAGTTTTGCTCTTGTCACATAGGCTGGAGTGCAGTGGCGTGATCTTGGCTCACTGCAACCTCCGCCTCCCAGGTTCAAGCAATTCTCTTGCTTCAGCTTCCCGAGTAGCTGGGATTACAGGCGCCCGCCACCATGCCCAGCTAATTCTTGTATTTTTAGTAGAGACAGGGTTTCGCCATGTTGAAGGTTCATCTCAAACTCCTGACCTCAGGTGATCCGCCCATCTCGGCCTCCCAAAGTGCTGGGATTACAGGCGTGAGCCACTGCGCCAGGCCCTATGTCTAAGTTCTAGTCTGTGTCATGCAAAGAACACCTGTGAAATTTTAAGGATACAGTGCCTCAAGCCATTCAGCCAAAAGCCACTGCCCAGCACCCCACATTCAGAGAGGTGGGAATTGGGCCAGGCACAGTGGCTCATACCTGTAATCCCAGCACTTCGGGAGGCCGAAGCGGGCGGATCACTTAAGGTCAGGAGCTCAAGACCAGCCTGGCCAACTTGAAACTCCATCTCTACTAAAATATAAAAATTAGCCGAGCATAGTAGTGGGTGCCTCTTTTTTTTTTTTTTTTTTTTTTGAGATAGTTTCACTCTTGTTGCCCAGGCTGTAGTGTAATGGCGCGATCTCAGCTCACTGCAACCTCCACCTCCTGGGTTCAAGTGATTCTCCTGCCTTAGCCTCCCACATAGCTGCAAATAAACAGGCATGTGCCACCATGCCTGGCTAATTTTGTATTTTTAGTATAGACGGGGTTTCTCCATGTTGGTCAGGCTGGTCTCGACCTCCGGACCTCAGGTGAGAGCCACCGTGCCCAGCCAGTAGGTGCCTTTAATCCCAGCTACTTGGGAGGCTGAGGCAGGAGAATCACTTGAACCCTGGAGGCAGAGGTTGCAGTGAGCTGAGATCCTGTCACTACACTCCATCCTGGGCTACAAGAGCAAGACTCCATCTCAGGAAAAAATAAAAAAGAGGTAGGAATTAGATATCGTGCCAGAAAATGCTGGCTCTATCAGCAGGTGAGTGGTCTCAACTTGGCTATCTTACAAATACCTTGTGAGTTAGCTACAATCAGATGCACTTGAACCTGGAATCCTATCTGGGAGGCAATCTTAAAAGAATTTGACTCGGGATGGGCAAGGTGGCTCATGCCTGTAATCCTGGCATTTTGGGAGTCCAAGGCAGGTAGATTGCTTGAGGCCAAGAATTTAAAAACAGCCTGGCCAACACAATGAAGCCCTGTCTCTACTGAAAGTACAAAAATCCGCTGAGCATGGCTGTGTACCTCTGCTCCCAGTTACTCAGGAGGCTGAGGTGGGAGGATCACTTGAGCCTGGGAGGAAGAAGTTACAGCGAATTGAGATCACGTCACCTCACTCCAGCCTGGGTGACAGTGAGATCCTGTCTCAAAAAAAAAAAAAAAACAAAAAAAACAAAGGCGCCTTTTTAATCACTCACTGACACGTGTAGAGGAGCAAAAAGTTTGAGTTGCTGGTTGGCCCAGGAGGTCAAGGCTGCAGTGAGCCAAGATGGCGTTACCACACTCCAGCCTGGGCAACCGAGTGAGACCGTGTTTCAAAAAATAAAGTGGCAGGGTGCAGTGGCTCATGCCTGTAATTCCAGCACTTTGGGAGGCCGAGGCAGGTGGATCACCTAAGGTCAGGAGTTCGTAGACCAGCCTGTCTCTACTAAAGAGACAGGTGAAACCCTGTCTCTCTAAAACCACAAAAATCAGGCAGGCATGGTGGCACATAGCTATAATCTCATCTACTTGGAGGCACGAGAACTGCTTGAATCCAGGAGGCAGAGGCTACAGTGAGCCGAGATCATGCCACAGCACTCCAGCCCTGGCGAGAGAGCAAGACTGTCTCAAAGAATAACTTCAAAGATGGAAGTTATTTAACCTCTCTGCTCAAAAGCCTCAGTGCTTCCCTATGTCAATCCAGGTAAAATCCTATATTGACGATGGCTTCAGGGTCTTCTGTGAGCTGGCCACTGCTTACCTATGACCTCATCTTGACAATCCTCCCTGTCTCACTCATGCCCGCTGCCTGGATGTTCTATTTTACGTGTCAGTCACATGTATCTTCAGGGCCTCTGCACAAGCTATTTCTCTGCCTGGAGAACTCCCCCCCGAGCTCTATGACTCGGTCTCTTCACCCCCTCACCTCCAACCATTGTAGCCAGAACCCCCAGTTATTCCCTGTACCCCTTGCCCTTCAGAACCCCTCATCGCCTCCATATTTTCCTGTTAGCAGATGAGCCCTGAGGGCGGAGACGTTTTGTTTGTTTTTTGAGACCGGAGTCTCACTCTGTCACCCAGGCTGGAGTGCAATGGCGCGATCTCGGCTCACTGCAACCTCCGCCTCCTGGGTTCAAGCGATTCTCCTGCCCCAGCCTCCTGAGTAGCTGGGATTACAGGTGCCTGTCACCACGCCCAGCTAACTTCTGTATATTTAGTAGAGACACGGTTTTACCATGTTAGGTTGGTCTTGAACTCCTTGACCTCAGGTGATCCATCCACCTCGGCCTCCCAAAGTGCTGGGATTACAGGCGTGAACCACCGTGCCCGGCCTGAGACTTCTGTTGGTCATGCAGATCCCCAACACACGAGGGTGGGCTTGGCTTGCCGGAGGGCATCGATCAGCACTGGCTGCATTAACGTGTTGATTTCTGTGTTTCCCCAGGTTGTGGGGATGTTCCATCCCTCCGTTCAGTTGTGAAGACCTCTGCTCTGCCCTCAGCTGCAACCAGAGCCTCGTCACTCTGGACCTGGGTCAGAATCCCTTGGGGTCTAGTGGAGTGAAGATGCTGTTTGAAACCTTGACATGTTCCAGTGGCACCCTCCGGACACTCAGGTATGATCCATTTACTTCCCCATCAGGCTTTCTCCAGAGTGGTAGGTTTAGGGGAAGCATAATGACATGGACCTGCTGTAGGAGACTGATCTGGTAGCTGGATTACAGGTTCCCGCCATCACACCCAGCCAATTTCTGTATTTCACTTGGAGAAACGGGGTTTCACCATGTTGGTCAGGCTGGTCTCAAACTCCTGACCTCAGGTGATCCGCCCGCCTCGGCCTCCCAAAGTGCTGGGATTACAGGCGTGAGCAACCGCACCCGGCCACCTTTTTTTTTTTTTTCCTTTGAGGCAAGAACTCACTATGTTCCCCAGGCTGGAGTCCAGCAGCACAATGATGGCTCGCTGCAGGCTCGCTCCAGCTCCTGGGCTCAAGCAATCCTGCCTCAGTTCCTGAGTAGGTAGGTTTATAAGCATGAACCATTGCACCCAGCCACGGCTGCCGTCTACCTGCTCATGATAGCCATTTGTCACTGGGCTGTGTTTTGTTTGTTGCATTTTGTCAGGGTTTTGGGGTTTTGTTTTGTTTTTTCTTTCTTTTTTTTTTTTTTTTTCTGAGATGGAGTCTCACTCTGTTGCCCAGGCTGGGGTGCAGTGGTTGCTAACTGCAACCTCCACCTCCCAGGTTCCAGCTATTCTCATGCTTCAGCCTCCCAAGTAGCTGGGATTACAGGCATGCACCACCACACCTAGGTAATTTTTGTATTTTTAGTAGAGACAGGGTTTTGCCATGTTGGCCAGGGTGGTCTCAAACTCCTGACCTCCGTGATTTGCCCACCTCAGCATCCCAAAGTGCTGGGATTACAGGCATGAGCCACCGCACCCGGCCTGAGTTGTATTTTGATACCATGGCATCAAAGAACCAAGAAGCCCCTTCCTAGGAATGTGGGAACTTCAGAAATTCTCACAAGCAATATACTCTACTGCTGGCTTAAAATAATCTTTATGTAGAAGAAACATAGATTACTTGTTTATTTAACATGAAACTCAGCCTAAGATACTTTGTAAGTCAAAAGACATATGGACACTAAGGGTTTTTTTAAGCTTTAAGTTTGTTTGTTTGTTTATTTATTATTTATTTTGGAGACAGTTTTACTCTTTTTTTTGGGGTGCATCTTTTTTCTTTTTTTTTTTTTTTTTTCCTTTTTTTTTTTTTTTTTTTTTATTGATCATTCTTGGGTGTTTCTCACAGAGGGGGATTTGGCAGGGTCATAGGACAATAGTGGAGGGAAGGTCAGCAGATAAACAAGTGAACAAAGGTCTCTGGTTTTCCTAGGCAGAGGACCCTGCGGCCTTCCGCAGCGTTTGTGTCCCTGGGTACTTGAGATTAGGGAGTGGTGATGACTCTTAACGAGCGTGCTGCCTTCAGGATCTGTTTAACAAAGCATATCTTGCACCGCCCTTAATCCGTTTAACTCTGAGTGGACACAGCACATGTTTCAGAGAGCACGGGGTTGGGGGTAAGGTCACAGATCAACAGGATCCCAAGGCAGAAGAATTTTTCTTAGTACAGAACAAAATGGGGGGCTGACCCCCCCACCTCCCTCCCGGACAGGGCGGCTGGCCGGTTAGAGGGGCTCCTCACTTCCCATTAGGGGCGGCCGGGCAGAGGCGCCCCTCACCTCCCGGACAGGGCGGCTGGCTGGGCGGGGGGCTGACCCCCCCACCTCCCCGCCCGGCCAGAGTTTTACTCTTGTTGTCCAGCCTGGAGCGCAATGGCGCTATCTCGGCTTACTGCAACCTCCGCCTCCCGGGTTCAAGAGGTTCTCCTCCCTCAGCCTCCCAAGTAGCTGGGACTACAGGCATGTGCCACCACACCTGGCTAATCTTGTATTTTTAATAGAGACAGGGTTTCTCCATATTGGTCAGGCTGGTCTCGAACTCCTGACTTCAGGTGACCCGCCTGCCTCAGCCTCCCAAAGTGCTAAGATTACAGGCGTGAGCCACCATGCCTGGCCTGCATCTCCTCTGTTTAACTGGTACTCCGGGGTCCACTGAGTAGAAGTTGCCAAAGTGGGTGATAGAGCGGGTAAGCAGGTATTAGAGCTATAGCCCAGCTGTACTCAGCAATTCCATTTTCTGTGTATGATAATCAACAAGCATCTCAAACTGCACAATGGCTATATACCATTACAAGGTTAACCTGATGTTATGTTTTTCTCTATCAGATCAACATGGTTGAGAATAAGAGGAATGAAAAAAAGGATTAAAAAGAGAAATGAAAGTCTTTAATATTACATTTTATTATTTACTTCATTTATTTTTTAGACAAAAATCTCACTCTATTGCTCAGGCTGGAGTGCAGGGGCCCGATCTCAGCTCACTGTAACCTCCGCCTCCCAGGTTCAAGTGATTCTCCTGTGTCAGCTTCCTGAGTAGCTGGGATTATAGGGATGCACCATCACACCCAACTAACTTTTATATTTTTAGTAGAGATGGACTTTCACCATCTTGCCTAGGCTGGTCTCAAACTCCTGACCTCAAGTGATCTGCCCACCTCACTCTCCCAAAGTGCTGGCATTACAGGCATGACCCACCACATCTGGCCTCATTTTATATTTAAAAATAAAAAATAAGCAAATCAAGCCAGGTACAGTTTAGGCAACATGGTAAAACCCCAACTCTACTAAAAATACAAAAATTAGCTGAGCATGGTGGCAGGTGCCTGTAGTCCCAGCTACTCGGGAGGCAGAGGATAGGATGGCTTGAACCCAAGAGGCACAGGTTGCAGTGAGCTGAGATGGTACCACTGCACTCCAGCTTGGGCAACAGAGAGACTGTCTTTTTTTTTTTTTTTTTTTTTTTTTTTTTTTTTTTTTTTGAGATCGCCCAGGCTGGAGTACAGTGGCACGATCTCGGCTCACTGCAAGCTCCGCCTCCCGGGTTCACACCATTCTCCTGCCTCAGCCTCCTGAGTAGCTGGGACTACAGGCGTCCGCCACCACGCCCGGCTAATTTTTTGTATTTTTTTAGTAGAGACAGGGTTTCACCGTGTTAGCCAGGATGGTCTTGATCTGCTGACCTCGTGATCCACCCGCCTCAGCCTCCTAAAGTGCTGGGAATTACAGGCGTGAGCCATCACGCCCCACCTGAGACTGTCTTTTAAAAAAAAAAAAAAAAAATCAATGTGGAACACTCCTTTGCCACCTAGAATAATCAGGAAAGGTGACCCATGCCCTGTGCCTCCTTAACAGACTTTCAGGTACTTGGGAATTTGAAACAAATCTCCTTGATGCACAAAGTAACCTTTTCTTCCCCCATTGTACCCCAGGTTGAAAATCGATGACTTTAATGATGAACTCAATAAGCTGCTGGAAGAAATAGAAGAAAAAAACCCACAACTGATTATTGATACTGAGAAACATCATCCCTGGGCAGAAAGGCCTTCTTCTCATGACTTCATGATCTGAATCCCCCCGAGTCATTCATTCTCCATGAAGTCATCGATTTTCCAGGTGTTGGTGAACTGCCTGTGACTCCTCTCCTCCCCGGCCCCTACCCCTCAGGGATAATGAGTTCATTGCTGGGCTAGATGTTTTAGCCATGATTCTGCCTCTGTTTTATACCTGCACACATCCTTATCTTTGTTACATATGAAATATCTGTATCACGGGTATATTGAGAGAAATAAAGGTGAGAGCATTCACAAATGAAGCTGTTACTTAATAATGGGCTTTGACAAGTTAGAGAAAAGATATCTTACTGGGTAGAACCTGGGGGGTGGGGGAAGTGACAGTGTTTAATTGCATTGATTTCTATTGCCTTGTCAATCTTTGCCTTGCCTTGGTATTTCCTTTCTTTTTTCTTTTCTTTTTTTTTTTTTTTTTTTTTAGACTGAGTTTCACTCTGTTGCCCACGCTGGAGTACACTGGCACGATCTCAGCTTACTACAACCTGGCAGGTTCAAGCGATTCTCCTGTCTCAGCCTCCTGAGTAGCTGGGATTACAAGCATCCCCCACCACACCCGGCTAAATTTTTTTGTATTTTTAATAGAGATGAGGTTTCACCATGTTGGCCAGTCTGGTCTCAAACTCCTGACCTCAAGTGATCCACCCACCTCAGCCTCCCAGAGTGCTGGGATTACAGGCATGAGCCACTGTACCCGGCTTTTTTTTTTTTCTTTTTCTTTTTCCTCAAGCATGAGTGTTGCTCTGTTGCCCAGGCTGGAATACAGCAGCATGATGATAGCTCACTGCAGCCTCAAGCTCCCAGGTTCAAGCGATCCTCCAGCCTCAGCCTCCTCAGTAGCTGGGACTACAGGTGCACACCACCAAACCAGGCCAATTTTTGTGGGATTTTTTTTGAAGACAGGGTCTCACTATGTTGCCCAGGCTGATCTCAAACTCCCAGGCGCAAGTAATATTCCTGCCTCAGCCTCCCAAAGTGCTAGGATTACAGGTGTGAACCACTGTGCCTAGCCTGTCTTGTTACTTGTTGACCTGCGTGGATCACTGCCTGCTGAGTATTACTTGCCAGAGGATTTCTCCTACCAATCTACAATATTTTAGGTGCTTCGGTGTAGCTCATATATGACCATGTCATTGCTCTGATTTTGCTTTTTAAAAATTCTAACTTAAAATAGAATCTCGGCCAGGCACGGTGGCTCACACCTGTAATCCCAGCACTTCGGGAGGCTGAGGTGGGTGGATCACGAAGTCAGGAGTTGGAGACCAACCTGGCCAACGTGGTGAAACCCCGTCTCTACTAAAAATATAAAAAATTAGCCAGGCATGGTGGCACATGCCTGTAATCCCAGCTACTTGGGAGGCTGAGGCAGGAGAATTGCTTAAACCCAGGAGGTGGATGTTGCACTGTGCTGAAGACTGCACTACTGCATTCCAGCTTGGGCAACAGAGTGACTCCTTCTCCAAAAAAAAACAAAATCTCATGGTATGCATAGTTTTTCACTATAGAGTCTCCATTATTTCCTTGTGATACAGAATTCCAAATTCAACAAAGCAGCAGTGCAAGCTCTACGCTGTAAAACCACAAACAAAACGAACTGTACTATAAAGACAACACTAGTTGGCAAAGTTGCTTCTCATGGGGAGACTTTGTTGCTGTCTGTGTTTACTGGATGAGCAAACAAATGGACGGTAAGGGGGAAAAAGAACAGTACAAATTTTTATTAAACACTAATCATGTTTTTTTTTGTTTGTTTTGAGACAGTTTCTTCTTGTTGCCCAGGCTGGAGTGCAATGGCACGATTTTGGCTCACTGCAACCTCCGCCTCCCCGGGTTCAAGCGATTCTCTTGCCTCGACCTACTGAGTAGCTGGGATTATAGGCATGTGCCACCAAGCCTGGCTAATTTTGAATTTTTAGCAGAGACGGGGTTTTTCCATGTTGGTCAGGCTGGTCTCGAACTCCCGACCTCAGGTGATCCACCAGCCTTGGTCTCCCAAAGTGCTGGGATTACAGGTATAAGTCACCGCACCTGGCAACATTTTTTTCTTTTTTTTTTTTTTTTTTTTTTTTTTTTTTGGTGGCAGAATCTTGCTCTTTCACCCAGGCTGGAATGCAATGGCACGATCTCGGGTCACTGCAGCCTCCACCTCCCCAGTTTAAGCAGTTCTCCCATCTCAGCCTCCCATGTAGCTGGGACCACAGGTGTGCACCACTGCACCCAGGTAATTTTTGCATTTTTGGTAGAGATAGGGTTTTGCCACGTTGTCCAGACTGGTCTTGAACTCCTGAGCTCAGGTGATCTGCCCACCTTGGCCTCCCCAAATGCTGGGATTATAGGCATGAGCCACCACACCTGGTCAAAAGTAGTTTTAATATTTAAATTTAAAACTAAAAAAGTTAATCTCTCTTCCTACTTTCATTTCTTCATCAGGGGCTATTGGTTTATTCCCACCGACTAGATCCAAGTTCTCTGATACTACCTTTAAACCACTCCATCACTTTCCAGTTCCACTGCATACAGTGTGGGCTTCTGAGGTTTCCTGGTTCAAGGTGTCCTTGTTCAATGCGGCATGGGTCATTCCCTGAGCATTTTTTTTTTTTTTTGACAGTCTCGCTCCATTGCCCGGTTTGGAGTGCAGTGGTGTGACCTCGGCTTACTGCAGCCTCTGCCTCCCAAGTTCAAGCAATTCTGCCTCAGGCTCCCGGATAATTTTTGCATTTTTAGTAGAGACAGGGTTTCACCGCGCTGGCCAGGCTGGTCTCGAACCCCTAACCTCAAGCGATCTGCCTGCCTCGGTCTCCCAAAGTGCTGGGATTACAGACATAAGCTACCGTGCCCGGCCTCCAGAGCATCTTTATTCTCAGTTTCAGCGGGAAGAAGGGGGAAGGTTGGTAAAAAGAGAGGCACAAAGTTTAAAAAGGACATTGCGTGAAGAAACTAAAGGTTTCTCCTTCTCCACACTATTGACATTTGGGATCGGATCACTACTCGTTGGGAAACGTCCTGTACATTTCCAGGGTGTTCGGCACCATCCCTAGCCTCTACCCCCTAGATACCAGCTCACATCCTCACAGTTAACAGTGATCAAAAATGTCTCTGGGCAGTAGAAAATATTTCCTGAAATGCAAAGTTTTCTTAGGTTGAGAACCATTGTAATCTAGCCCCATCTTTAGAGAAGAAATTGAGTAACGGATCTACATCCATTGAGGAACTATCGACACCCCAGGGGCCCATGAAATGTAAACTCGCACTCACAATTAACCATCTTTCTCCAACGTGTGTATTTCATGTAGCCACACTCTCAGATGCCCACCCCCATGACCTACAAGTCCTAAACAGGGAAACCTGTGGCACATGGGTTCATGTGTGTCTGAATCTATACGTTCAGAGATGAACAAGTACTGCTCTCCCTATACCTGTGACCACTCGCCTCCGCCCATCACTGAATTCTGAAAATGTGGCCTCAGGCTCACAGCAGCATTAGCACTTGCTTGCTCTGGATCTCATCACATTGATGATCAAGAACAAAGTATTCACTGGGTTCTCTGCTAAGGATACAAAAAAAACCATTCCACAATTCCACGGCCATGTTTGCACCCAGGAACCACGAGGGCTGGGTTAGCCCAGATGGTGGGCTTGGGAAATGTTCCTGGAGCAAAAAAAAGAGCCAGAAGTCATGAGAGCCTGACCCCCTCCCCCAACGCGCACACACACACACCACTCTCTACCTCCAAGCCTCATTTTCAGGCTTCTCAAAGCTAAGGTCACTCCCATGAGCTAAGCCGCGCTTTTCTCAATCCTCAGCTCTTCCACAAGAATAGGAAGAACTCTCTCCTGTTCAAGATCCTGTGGCTCAGCTGCAGCTCTGGAAGAAAGACCCCGGTGAGGGTCTTGCTTTTCACAATCCCCAATCCCAGACCACATCCTGTGCCCCAAAACAACTTCCATGGTAACCACATCCTTCAGGAAGTGAAGTCAGGCAGGAAGTCAAGTCAGAAGACGGAATGGGCTGGGCATGGTGGATCGCACCTGTAATCCCAGCACTTTGGGAGGCAGAGGCAGGTGGATCACATGAGGTCAGGAGTTTGAGACCAGCCTGGCCAACATGGTGAAACCCTGTCTCTACTAAAAATACCAAAAGTAGCCAGGCTTGGTGGTGCATGCCTGTAATCCCAGCTACTCTGGAGGCTGAGGCAGGAGAATCGCTTAAACCCGGAAGGCGGAGGTTGCAATGAGCCGAGATCGCACCATTGCACTCCAGCCCGGGGGACAGAAAAAAAAATGTAGCTGAGCATGGTAGTGCACGTCTGTGATCTCAGCTACTTGGGAGTCTGAGGCAGGAGAATCACTTGAACCCAGGCGGTGGAGGTTGCAGTGAGCCAAGATTGTAATAGTCCAATGTGTTCACCTTGCCCACTGCCTAGACAGAGCTGATTCGTCAAGACAGGGAATCGCAATAGAGAATAATTCATGCAGAGCTGGCTCTACGAGAGACCAGAGTTTTATTATTATTCAAATCAGTGTCTCCCAGCATTCAGGAAGCGTTTTTAAGGATAACTTGGTGGGTGGGTGGGAAGCCAGTGAGCCAGGAGTGCTGTTTGGTCAGGGATGAAATCGTGGGAGCCAAAGCTATCTTCTTGCACTCAGTTCCTGAGTGGAGGCCAAAAGATAAGATGGGCCAGTTTATTGATATGGGTGGTGCCAGCTGATCCATCAAGTACAGGGTCTGCAAGTTAAACGCTGATCTTAGAAGCAGTTTAGGGAGGGTCACAATCTTGTAGCCTCCAGCTGCATGACTCCTAAGTCATAATTTCTAATCTCGTGGCTAATGTTCGTCCTACAGGGCCAATCTAGTCCCCAGGCAACAAAGAGGTGTGCTTTGGAAAAGGGCTATCATCTTTGTTTAAACTATAAGTTTCTCCCAAAGTTCAGCCTATGCCCAGGAATGAAAAAGGACAGCTTGGAGGTTAGAAGCAAAATGGAGTCAGTTAAATCTCTTTCACTGTCTCAGTCATAATTTTGGAAAGGTGGTTTCAAGCTGGCACAACTGCACTCCACCCTAGGAGACAGAGCGAGACCCTGTCAAAAAAAAAAAAAAAAAACAAGAAGTGAAGTCAAGATAGGAGGTAAATTCGGAAGACAGGAAGTGGTGGTAGAAGACAAGAAGTGAAGTCATACAGGAAGTAAAGTCAGAAGACAGGAAGTGAAGTAAGAAGACAGGAAGTGGTTGTAGAAGACAGGAAGTGAGGTCATACAGGAAGTAAAATCAGAAGACAGGAAGTGACGTCAAACCAGGATTTGCAGTCGGAGGCAGGCAAGAAGTGAAATCAGAAGACGGGAAGTGGCTGAGGGGAACGTCTTTTCTCTCTCCTGCTCAGCCCGAAGTGAACAGGTAGCATCAGGTGTGCCATTTCAGTGACTGGGCACAGCCCAGGCACCCACATCTCTCTGCAGCGCCTATTCTTGGAACACCAGAGACCTCTACACTATTTTCTGTTGCTTTTTTCCTTCATTTTCAGAGATGAGATCCTGGATTGAATGACTACTATGGAAAGTGATTGACCAAGGTAAGTCACAACTATCTTGTTCTTTAATTTTGGTGTTGTTTGTTATGACTTGTTAGCCGTCTAGCACTCATAGCTTTGCATTTCCACTCTGCATTACTTGTATTTTTATTATTTTGTGATATTCGTAATAATTTATTATAAAACTGTGTTATTTTTGGATATTTTTAAGTTAAAATGCGATTTTTTAACTAAGTGGCAGTATGCAAAGCAAGTGGTTCAGAACTCTCCCCCATTAATAAGTCTTCTCTCCTGAAAGAAACAATTTTGAGACTTCCTGTTCTTAATTCTGTTTAACAGCATACTTCTAAAAGAAAAAGTGTATACTGTTATTATTTATTGTGTTACAAAAATATACACGCACCTTTCATGCACGTCCGTGTGAAGAGACCACCAAACAGGCTTTGTGTGAGCAATAAAGCTTTTAATCACCTGGGTGCAGGTGGGCTGAGTCTGACAAGAGAGTCAGCGAAGGGGGATAGGGGTGGGGCCGTTTTATAGGATGTGGGTAGGTAAAGGAAAATTACAGTCAAAGGGGGGTTGTTCTCTGGCGGGCAGAGTCGGGGTCATAAGGTGCTCAGTAGGGGAGCTTTTGAGCCAGGATGAGCCAGGAGAAGGAATTTCACAAGACAATGTCATCAGTTAAGGCAGGAACAGGCCATTTTCGCTTCTTTTGTGGTGGAATGTCATCAGTTAAGGCACGAACCGGCCATCTGGATGTGTACGTGCAGGTCACAGGGGATATGATGGCTTAGCTTGGGCTCAGAGGCCTGACATTCCTGTCTTCTTATATTAATAAGAAAAATAAAATGAAATAGGGGTAAAGTGTTGGGACAGCAAAAATTTTTGGGGGTGGTATGGAGAGATAATGGGTGATGTTTCTCAAGGCTGCTTTGAGCAGGATTAGGGGCGGCGTGGGAACCTAAAGTGGGAGCGATTAAGCTGAAGGAAGATTTTGTGGTAAGGGGTGACATTGTGGGATTGTTAAAAGAAACATTTGTCATTTAGAATTATTGGTGATGGCCTGGATACAGTTTTGTATGAATTGAAAAACTAAAGGGAATAAGGAAAGGAGAAAAACAGGTATTAAAGGTCTAAGAATTGGGACGACTCAGGACATCTAATTAGAAAGTGCCTAAGGAGGTTCAGCATAGCCTTGCCAGCAAAGATTATTTATTTATTTTAAGAGTTAACAGTGGCGGTATGGGGATAGTACCAGGAGATACCAGCTGTGCTGGCTTGGAGAAACAGTGTAAACTGGCAGTGTAAACAAGAGCAGGGCATGTGTGAGTAGTTGAGAACGGTGAATAGGAGTATGACTAGACAGAAGATAGTAGGGATGACAAGTTTTTTGGGGCACAATCTAAGTTGGTCTGGTGTCTGGAATGAGACTGGGGCCTAATAAAAAGGAGTGTCTACACAGGAGCTTAAATGGGCTGTATCTTGTAGCATTCCAAGGACAGGCCTGAATTCTGGAAGCGAAAATGGTAAAAGTATTGTCCAGTCCTTTTTAAGTTGGTGGCTGAGCTTGGTGAGGTGTGTTTTTAATAGACCATTAGTCTGTCACTGAATACTAAGAGCCTGAAAAAATGCTTGGCTGATTTGACTAATAAAGGCTGGTCTGTTAGCAGACTGTATAGAGGTGGGAAGGCTGAACTGAGGAATTTTGTCTGACAGAAGGGAATGACAAGGCTAAACTGAAGAATTATGTCTGACAGAAGGGAAGAAATGACTGCGGTGGCCTTCTCAGACCCTGTAGGAAAGGACTGTACTTACCCAGTGAAAGTGTCTACCTAGACTAAGAGGTATTTTAGTTATCTTACTCGGGGCATGTTGAGTAAAGCTAATTTGCCAGTCCTGGGCGGGGGCAAATCCTTGAGCTTGATGTGTAGGGAAGGGAGGGGGCCTGAATAATCCATGAGGAGTAGTAGAATAGCTGATGCAACACTGAGAAGTGATTTCTTTGAGGATAGATTTCCACAATGGAAAGGAAATGAGAGGTTCTAAGAGGCTGGCTAGTGGCTTGTACCATAGCATAGCCTGCCTTTGCTGGTGTGTGGCGATTAGGCCTGGTGGAACCGCCATCAATAAACTAAGTGTGATCAGGGTGAGAAACAGGGAAGAAGGAAATGTGGGGAAATGGGGTGAACGTCAGGTGGATCAGAGAGATGCAGTCATGGGGGTCAGGTGTGGTATCTGGAATAATGTGGGAGGCCAGATTGAAGTCCGGGCCAGGAACAATGGTAATTGTGGGACTTAACAAAGAGTGAGTACAGCTGAAGGAGCCAGGGAGCAGAAAGTATATGCATCAGGTGTGAGTAAGAAAATAGATTTTGGAAATTATGAGAGCTGTAGAGAGTGAGTTGAGCATAGTTTGTGATTTTGAGGGCCTCTAAAAGTATTAAAGCAGCGGCAGCCACAGCACGCAGATATGAGGGCTAGGCTAAAACAGTAAGGTCAAGTTGTTTGGACAGAAAGGCTACAGGGTGTGGTCCTGGCTCTTGTGTAAGAGTTCTGACCGCGCTAACCATGCCTAGGAAGGAAAGGAGTTGTTGTTTTGTAGAAGGTGCTGGGGCTTGAGAGATCAGTCAGACACGATCAGCAGGGAGAGCACGTGTGTTTTTATGAGAATTATGCCGAGATAGGTAACAGATGAGGATGAACTTTGGGCTTGACTGAAGTAATGGGGGCTGTCTGTGAAACCTTGCAGCAGTACAGCCCAGGTAATTTGCTGAGCCTAATGGGTGTCAGGGTCAGTCCAAGTGAAAGCGAAGAGAGGCTGGGACGAGGGGTGCAGGGGAATAGTGAAAAAAGCATCTTTAAGATCAAGCATGGAATAGTGAGTTGTGGAGGAAGGTATTGAGGACAAAAGAGTGTAGGGGTTGGGCACCACAGGGTGCATAGGCAAAACAATTTGATAAGGCGCAGATCCTGAACTAATCTGTAAGACTTTTCCGGTTTTTGGACAGGTAAAATGGGGGAATTGTAAGGAGAGTTTATAGGTTTTAGAAGCCCATGCTATAGCAGGCGAGTGATAACAGGCTTTAATCCTTTTAAAGTGTGCTGTGGGATGGGATATTGGCATTGAGCAGGGTAAGGGTGATTAGGTTTTAATGGGATGGTAACGGGTATGTGATCAGTTGCCAGGGAAGGAGTAGAGATGTCCCATACTTGTGGGTTAAGGTGGGGGAATAGGAGAGGAAGACGCGAAGGAGGCTTTGGGTTGAGGAGAAGGGTGGCAATGAGATGCGGCTGTAGTCCAGGAATAGTCAGGGAAGCAGATAATTTGGTTAAAATATCTCGGCCTAATAAGGGAACTGGGCAGGTGGGGATAACTAAAAAAGAGTGCATAAAAGAGTGTTGTCCAAGTTGGCACCAGAGTGGGGGAGTTTTCAGGGGTTTAGAAGCCTGGCCGTCAATACCCACAACAGTTATGGAGGCAAGAGAAACAGGCCCTTGAAAAGAAGGTAATGTGGAGTGGGTAGCCTCCGTATTGACTAAGGCGACGGACTTACCTTCCACCGTGAGTGTTACCCGAAGCTCGGCATCCGTGATGGTCTACAGAGCTTCCGAGGCGATTGGGCAGCATCAGTCTTCAGCCGCTAAGCCGAGAAGGAGTCAGAGAGCCTTGGGCCAGAGTTCCAGGGGCTCTGGGAGTGGCTGCCAGGTGAGTTGAACAGTCCGATTTCCAGTGGGGTCCCGCACAGATGGGACACGGCTTAGGAGGAATCCTGGGCTGCAGGCATTCCTTGGCCTGGTGGTCAGATTTCTGGCACTTGTAGCAAGCTCCTGGGGGAGGAGGTTCTGGAGGAACGCCTGGCCGCTGCGGTTCAGTTCCCTTCTTGTGTGCTGGAGATGTGGCTGGGGTTTGTCTCACAGTGGAGGCAAGGAATTGCAACTTTTTTCTATTATTGTACACCTTGAAGGCGAGGTTAATTAAATCCTGTTGTGGGGTTTGAGGGCCGGAATTTAATTTTTGGAGTTTTATTTAATGTCGGGAGCAGATTGGGTAATAAAATGTGTATTAAGAATAAGACGGCCTTTTGACTTTTAAGGGTCTAGGGCTGTAAAGCTTCTCAGGGTTGCTGGCGAACGAGCCATGAATTGGGCTGGATTTTTATATTTGATGAAAAAGAGCCTAAACACTATCTGATTTGGGATAAAGAAAAAGGAGCATTAACCTTGACTATGCCTTTAGCTCCAGCCACCTTTCTAAGAGTAAATTGCTGGGCAGGTGGAAGAGGGCTAGTCACTGAACGAAACTGTAAGCTGGACCAGGTGTGGGGAGGGGAGGTGATAAAAAGATAATACGGTGGAGGAGCGGAGGCTGAGGAAGAATTGGGACCTAGCTCAGCCTGGGGAGGAGGGAGAGGTCAGACGGGTCTGTAGAAAAGGAAGATTAGAAAGACTCAGCGACGCTTGGGGTTGAGACTGAGGGGACAGGCAGGAGGGAAAGAAGGAAGATTTGGGACGAGTTGCACTGGGCACAGAGACTAGGAAGGGACTGATGTGTAAAAGAATGCCTGGACGTCAGGCACCTCAGACCGTTTGCCCATTTTACGACAAGAATTATTTAGATCTTGCAGGATGGAAAAATTGAAAGTGCTGTTTTCTGGCTATTTGGAACTGCTGTCCAGTTTGTATTGGGGTCAAGCGGCATTGCAGAAGAAAATAAGGCATTTAGGTTTTAGGTCAGGTGTGAGTTGAAGAGGTTTTAAGTTTTTGAGAACACAGGCCAAGGGAGAGAAGGAGGAGGAATGGAGGGTGGAAGGTTGCCCATAGTGAAGGAGGCAAGCCTAGAGAAAAGAGAGAGTAGAGACACGGAGGGAAGGGGTTCGGGAGTTCTTACCTTCCAGAAAAGCGGGAAAGGGGTTGGGGCATGGATATAAGGGGTTGGGGCACAGAGATAAGAGGTTGGGGCATGGAAATAAGGGATCAGGGTGCAGAGATACGAGGTTGGGGTACTTGCCCCTCTAGAAAAGCGGGACTTGCCGCTAAGAGTGAAGGAGAAGGGGTTGGGGGTTTCTTGCCCCCCAGAAAGGTGGAGAAGGGGTAGAGACATGGAGAGGAGGGGTTGGGGAACTTGCCCCTTCCCCAGAAAAGTGGGACTTGCCACTAAGGGTGAAGGACCAAGGCAGGCATCCCTGCGTGATCTGACACCTCTGAAGCGTGGGTATATAATCAGAGAGGCGTCCCTGCAATGATTAAACGCCAAGGGAAGGCTGCCTTCCCTAGTCCGTGACCGGCGCCGGAGTTTTGGGTCCACAGATAAAACGTGTCTCCTTTGTCTCTACCAGAAAATGAAAGGAATTGAAATTAAGAGAAGGGAGAGATTGAAGAGTGGAAAGGAGAAAGTGGTTGAGGGACAGTGAGAGAGGTTGGAGAAGAGAGTAAGAAGAGGTCGCTTACCCAATTTAAACTTGGTGAGATGTTCCTTGGGCTGGTGGGTCTGAGGACCTGAGGTCGTAGGTGGATCTTTTTCACAGAGCAAAGAGCAAGACAGGGGATTGATCTCCCAAGGGAGGTCCCCCGATCCAAGTCACGGCACCAAATTTCATGTGCGTCCATGTGAAGAGACCACCAAACAGGCTTTGTGTGAGCAATAAAGCTTTTAATCACCTGGGTGCAGGTGGGCTGAGTCCGACAAGAGAGTCAGCGAAGGGGGATGGGGTGGGGCCGTTTTATAGGATTTGGGTAGGTAAAGGAAAATTACAGTCAAAGCGGGGTTGTTCTCTGGCGGGCAGAGTGGGGGTCACAAGGTGCTCTGTAGGGGAGCTTTTGAGCCAGGATGAGCCAGGAGAAGGAATTTCACAAGACAATGTCATCAGTTAAGGCAGTAACAGGCCATTTTCACTTCTTTTGTGGTGGAATGTCATCAGTTAAGGCAGGAACCAGCCATATGGATGTGTACGTGCAGGTCACAGGGGATATGATGGCTTAGCTTGGGCTCAGAGGCCTGACAGCACCTACCTAAAAAATTCCAATAGCACTAAAAGGGTGTGTACAAAATGCAGTGGCTGACTAACCATCTCCTCCATTGCTCCGCCTAAGAGACACCCACTTTTAGCTGTTTTCTTTAGGAACTTGTTAATATTAGGTTTCTAAAAACATGTAACCATGTGAATGAGCTTAGACTTACTGGATTCCTATCATAATAGGCGGGGCCTTAGTTATTCTACAGCGTTGTTCTTACTGTTTTTTCTCTTCCAATGTTTATCTCTATGTCTGCATATCAACATTCAGTATCACATTTTTTTTTTTTGAGACAGAGTCTCACTCTGTCACCCAGGCTGGAGTGCAGTGGCGCAATCTCAGCTCACTGCAGCCTCAGTCTCCTGAGTAGCTGGGACTACAGGCGTGTGCCACCACGACTGGCTAATTTTTGTATTTTTAGTAGAGACAGGGTTTCACCATGTTGGCTGAGCTGGTCTCGATCTCCTGACCTCGTGATCTGCCCACCTCAGCCTCCCGAAGTGCTGGGATTACAGGCATGAGCCACCACGCCCGGCCAGTATCACATGTTTATACCCACAGATATTCGCAGCCGAGAATTTTCGGGTAATATAACTTGCTTCTTTTATTTTTGTTGTTGTTATTGTTCCCCTAAAGTTTATATTTGTTTTTTATTTTTATTTTCTTTTGAGGCAGGGTCTCACTCTGTCACCCAGGTTTGACAGCAGTGGTGCAATCATGGCTCACTGCAGCCTCAACCTCCCCGGGCTCAGGTGATCCCCAACCTCAGCCTCCTGAGTACCTGAGAGTAGGCATGTGGTACCACACCCAGCTAATTTTTTATATTTTTTGTATATGAGACAAGGTTTCACCATGTTGCCCAGGCTGGTCTCGAACTCTTAGGCTCAAGCGATCCCGCCTCAGCCTCCCAAAGTGCTGGGATTACAGGTGTGAGCCACTGTGCCTAGGCTATACTGGTCTTTTTAAAATCTACTTAGTTTACTTGACCTCTAAAATTATTTTTCCTCTGTCTTCTGATAGCATCTCAGTATGATTTTCCACTATGTTAAGACGAGGAATTGACCCATTCTTACATTTGGAGGCTTCTCTAAGCAACTTTCCCATTCCCCCTTCACCCAAGCTGTGTGCTCACTAGCCCTGATTCACAGCCGTCGTCCTGGAACTTCTTGGTGCCATCCTTCTGTCTTTTCCCAAGTGACTCACCTACCTCAACCTCCCAAAGTGCCGGGATTACAGGCGTGAGCCACTGTGGCCAGCCATTCTTTTCCTTTTTTAAAACAATTTTTATCTTCTTTATTTTAAGTAGAGATGGGGTCTCACTATGTTGCCCAGGCTGGTCTTGAACTCCTGGGCTCAAGCGATCCTCCTGCCTTGGCCTCCCACAGTGCTAGGATTACAGACATGATCCACTGCACTTGGCCCAGTGGTACAGTTTTACACTCATTAGATGGTCAAGAAATGCCTAAACGCTATAATAAATATAGAACTTTACCTTGAGAAGACCTAACATTTCCTTCAGAAAGTAAATATGAGAGGGGTGGAGACGGTGCATTATCTTATTTTTATGATTTTAAAAATGTATACAGAATTGTACATATTTATGGGGTGGACAGCAATATTGCAGTACATGTATACAACGTGCTATGATCAAATCAGGGTAATTGACATATTCATCCCTGTATTTTTTGAGACAAAGTCAGGCTTCGTCACCCGAGCTAGAGTGCAGTGGTGTGATCTCAGCTCACTGCAACCTCTGCCTCCCAGGCTCAAGCCATTCTCCCACCTCAGCCCCCTGAGTTGCTGGGAGTATAGGGATGCACCACCACACCTGGCTAATTTTTGTGTTTTTTTGTTTTGTTGGTAGAGATGAGGTTTCACCATGTTGCACAGGCTGATCTTGTTTTCTAATGTGAAGGGAAGCGGGCAACGTGCTAGTTTTACACTAAGGAAAATGAATGACATACCCAAACTGCCTGCAAGACCCGTTCTGAGAGACGAAAGGAGATTTGTTAGACCGCAGTGGGAGATGGAGTGAGGGTGAGAGTTTCTGGGGAAAACCAGACAAGAGCACAGAGGGCCAAAGGGAAGCACGGGAGGATTTTGCACAGAGGATGGAACAGAGTCAACCCTGAGAGCTGGGAACCTTAGAGATCCGTCTGGAGCCCATATTAGAGAGGTTGAAGAAAGAGGCCAGTATGTGGTCCAGCCAGGGTACCATGTCATCCACAGTGTGCAGGGAGGAGGATGGGGTCTCCACAGATTCCTTCCATCCCAAATGGAGGGTGCCCTCAGACAGAGAGGCAGACAGACAGACAGACACTGGCCGAACGGCTCCCTGATGGAACACCAGGAGGAGGCAGCATGGCCTCGTTTCCACAGCTGTAGCCTCTGCCCTCCTGCTTCCACGCTCCACACACGCCAGTCTTTGAGTCGCCTCCCATGCCATGATCCCTCCCTTGGATACGACCGTGCCTGGGGTTCAGCGGTCATGAACATAACCCGCGGCTGTGAACATCCTGTCGGCCTCCATCCTGACCCCCGTTTGATTTCCGGGTCAGCGGGAGGGGCGGGAGGGGCGGAAGCGGCCTCTGCACAGCCCTGCCCCTGTGCCGCAGGCGCTTCCTCCGGCTGTGCCAGTCCTCTGCCAGAAACCCCGCCAGGATTATTAGGATCACAGCCCCGAGGCATATCCGGACCAGGTTGCCCTTGGTGTAGTACTGGCGGGCAGGACCTGGAGGAATGAGGAGAGGCAGGAGCAGGTGAAAGAGCCCACCTCCAGGACCCCCTCCAAGCCACATCTGGGCTTCTCAGAGATCCTATTATTCTCTACTAGCTAGGGGATGCCGCTCACTTTCCTGGAGGGTCCCTCCCTTCCCGAGTAGGGGTCAGGGCCAGATGACCCCAATTCTCTAAGTAGCACCTCTCCCTCCTGTGCTCTCACAGGGCTCTGAGACAACTCCTCCCCAGACACAGATGCTGCCTCGTTATCTGATGCATTGCAAAAGAGAGGACAGTTATAAGGGGTGGGGAAGAGATGGAATCTCTCTTTCTCTGACCCTTTTTAAAATCTCAACCTTCCCACCTGATCTTAATGCCCAATTCTGAACCCCATACGCTGATATTCTGCCTTTACTCTACACACTGGAACCCAAGATCTGAGAGCTGCAGCCCCTGCGTAGACAAAGGAGTTGGCTTTGGTGAAGAGACGGGTGAGAAGGAAGGGGGTCTGGAGAGGATGACTTACTCACCAGCTGGAGAGTCTGACTCCTTTGGACTGGCGGTGATACTCCTAGAAGTCTCTGGGAACCAAACAAAGGCTAAGTGTGAAATGAAACCATATTCCCGCCCCCTGTCACTGTGCCTACTCCGAACACACACACACATGGGGAGGCACAATTCCACAGCATTTAAGAAAAGCATGGGCCGGGCACGGTGCCTCATGCCTATAATCCCAGCACTTTGGGAGGCTGAGGTAGGAGGCTGGCTTGAGTCCAGGAGTTCAAGACCAACCTGAGCAACATAGAAAAACCCTATCTCTACAAAAAAATACAAAAATTAGCCAGGCGTGGTGGCACGTGCCAGTAATCCCAGCTACTCAGTGGAGGCTGAGGCAGGAAGATCACCTGAGCCCTGGGAGGTTGAGGCTGCAGTGAGCCAGGATTGTACCACTGCACTCTAGCCTGGGAAACAGAGCGAGACCCTGTCCAAAAAAAAAAAAGCAAGAACTGTAGAGTCAGGCTGTCCTCCAGATTTGAACCCCAACTCTATCACCTATTAGATGTCAGTTATCTGGCAAGTGACTCAGCATCTGTGAGCCAGTTCCCCATGTGTCCAATAAAATTAACAAGATCCCTTATAGGTTGATGTGAAAGTCAAGATAATAATAATGGTAGAAATATAAAGCACCGTGCTTGACATATGAGCACCTCATACGTGCCAGCTTTTTTTTTTTTTTTTTTGAGACAGAGTCTGGCTCTGTCTCCCAGGCTGGAGTGCAGTGGCCCGATGTCGGCTCACTTCAACCTCCGCCTCCTGGGCTCAAGCGATTCTCCTGCCTCAGCCTCCCGAGTAGCTGGGACTACAGGCGTCCGCCACCACGCCCAGCTAAGTTTTGTATTTTTAGTAGAGATGGGATTTCACCATATTGGCCAGGTTGGTTTTGAACTCCTGACCTTGTGATCCGCCCGCCTAGGCCTCCCAAAGTGCTGGGATTACAGGCGTGAGCCACTGCACCCGGCCTCCAGCTCTCTTATTCCTCAAGTATCTCCTGAGACTCGCCAGGTACTCAGCCATGTGCTGGGCCATGGGAACCCAAATATTAATAAGACATTGTCAGGCCAGGCATGACACTGGCTGAATGCCTGTAATCCCAGCACTTTGGGAGGCCAAGGTGGGCGGATCACCTGAGGTCAAGAGATCGAGACCATCCTGGCCAACATGGTGAAACCCCGTCTTTACTAAAAATACAAAAAATAGCTGGGCATGGTGGCACACACCTGTAGTCCCAGCTACTCAGGAGCCGGAGATTGCAGTGAGCTGAGATCGCAGAGTGAGCCGAAATCACAGATCACAGAGTGAGCAGAGTGAGACTCCGTCTCAAAAACAACAACAAAAAACAAAAAAACCATAAGACATTGTCCATCTGCGGTTCCCAGACTATTGCAGGAGACCAAAAAGTAAAGCGATTTTTTTTTTTTTTTAATACGGAGTCTCACTCTGTTGCCCAGGCTGGAGTGCTGTGGTGTGATCTCAGGTCACTGCAACCTCCAACTCGTGAGTTCAAGCGATTCTCCTGCCTCAGCCTCCCAAGTAGCTGGAATTACAGGTGCCCACCACCACGCCCGGCTAATTTTTGTATTTTCAGTAGAGACGGGGTTTCAGCATGTTGGCCAGGCTGGTCTCCTGACCTCAGGTGATCCACTCACCTTGGCCTCCCAAAGTGCTGGGATTACAGACAAAGCGATAATTTTAATATACTGTAAAAATTGCTGTAATAGGCAGCCCACAAGACACTGAGCGAGAGCAGAGGAAACCATCGATCCAGCCTGGACGGTCAAGGCTTTCTTGAGGAATTGATGCCATGGGGAAATGGAAGAAAAGGCAGAGTGAGTGGGTTGGGTGCAGAGTCAGGAGAGGTTAGGAAGCCTCCAGGAGAGCTTCAAGTGACTGTGTGTGGCTGAGAACAGCATGGGAATGCGTGGAAGGTATGCAGACAAAATTGGAGGGATCAACAGGGGCTGGATATCTAAGCTCACAGAATAGCAAGCTGAGGAATTGGAACTGCATCCTGAGGGTGATTGGGAGGTTCCGAACTGAAGATAGGGAAGGCTTCCATCACAGAACTCCCTGGGATATGCCGGGCGCGGTGGCTCATGCCTCCAATCCCAGCACTTTGGGAGGCCGAGACAGGTGGATCATGAGGTCAGGAGTTCAAGACCAGCCTTCCCAAGATGCTGAAACCCCGTCTCTACTAAAATACAAAAATTAGCCAGGTGTGGTGGCATGCACCTATAATCCCAGCTACTCGGGAGGCTGAGGCAGGAGAATCGCTTGAACCCGGGCAGCAGAGGTTACAGTGAGCCGAGATCGCACCACTGCACTCCAGCCTGGGCGACAGAGCAAGACTCCACCTCAAAAAAATAAAAAATAGAACTACGTGGGATCAGGTGCCTCATGAAAGCCAGAGTCATGTGGGCCCAGTGGAAGTATCTAACCTATTATCAGGGAATCTGTGAAGGTGTTTAGTCTGGAAGGAAATGGAGATTTTCCAGGACAGGCAAGGGGAAAGAGACTGAGGAAAGCGTATCTGCAGAGGCCTGGAGCGGTTAGAAGATGTGCTGTGTCCAGGTGCCTACAGTCTGTGTGCGTCCGAGCATGGGCTCTACCTGGACACAGTGAGGAGCGAGATTAAATACCTGGATCACAGCCGAGTCCAAAGCCTAGGACTTCATCCTGGGAGCAGTGCGTAGGGATGGCGGTCGTCCCGCCACAGCCTTGGCTCCGCCATCTTTGAAATGGCCCCATCACCCAAAACGCTCCTCCTTCTGAACCCCAGAGCTCCACTCTGCACCCATGCTCTAGCCTCACACCAAGGACTTTCTTGGTAAGAGACGGACAGTTCGGTGAAGTGATTAAAAGCCTACAGGCTTAGATAATGGAAGAGAGAGCTCCGTCCTCACACTCCTTTCTGCTGAGCATGAAATGCCTGGTTACTCACCAGTTGTGAAGACTTCGTTTGTGAATGAGACGGTCAGTTCAGCGGTGGCTTCTGAGAATTCTAAGAAAGCAAAACAATGTTAGGTCTTCCCCGTGGTTCCCTATATCCTCTAGATATCTCCATTCCCCTTTTGAGATATCTAGGCTCCCTGAAACCCCTTTCTCTGACACACTGCACAGACACTGAAGACAGACAAATTCGAAAGGTGTAAGACTTATCTTCCATGACCGGCTTAGTAAGAAGCAGATCCGTTCAGCAATTGATAGACACTTGGTTTTTTTTCCACGTTTTGCTGTTATGAATATTGCTGCTGTGAACATTGACGTACAGGTTTTTGTGTGAACATAAGTTTTCTGTTCTCTTGGGTACACACCCAGGGGTGGTGGAATCACTGGGTCATACAGTAACTCTGTGTTTTACTTTTTGAAGAACTACCAGACTTCTTTCTTTTTTTTCTTTTTTTTTTTTTTTTGAGACAGAGTCTCATTCTGTTGCCCAGGCTGGAGTGCAGTGGCGCGATCTCAGCTCACTGCAACCTCCACCTCCTGGGTTCAAGCGATTCTCCTCCCTCAGCCTCCCGAGTAGCTGGGATTACAGGCACCTGCCATCACGCCTGGCCAACTTTTTTTTTTGTACTTTAGTAGAGGCGGGGTTTCACCATGTTGGCCAGGATGGTCTCGATCTCCTGACCTCGTGATCCACCCTCCTTGGCCTCTCAAAGTGCTGGGATTACAGGCTGCGCCTGGCCACAGACTGTTTTTCAAAGCAGCTGCACCATTTTATATTCCCACCAGCAATATAAGAAGGTTCTTCCAAATCCTCACCAATACTTCTTGTCCGTTTGTTTTGTTTTAAAAATCATAGTCATCCTAGTTGGCATGGTGAATTTTATGGTATGTGAATTATATCTCAGTTTGAATAATAAGATGTGGATCCATGTCTTCGTGAGCCTAGAGGAAGAATGAGCTCGTGTTAGCCTCAGAACACGGGATCTCCACCTTCCAACTTAGGCCATTTTCTTTTTTTCTTTTTTTTTTTTTTTTTGAGACAGAGTCTTACTCTGTCGTCCAGGCTGGAGTGCAGTGGTGCAATCTCGGCTCACTGCAAGCTCTGCCTCCCGGGTTCACACCATTATCCTGCCTCAGCCTCCCGAGTAGCTGGGACTACAGGCACCCGCCACCACGCCTGGCTAATTTTTTTGTATTTTCAGTAGAGATGGGGTTTCACCGTGTTAGCCAGGATGGTCTCGATCTCCTGACCTTGTGATCCACCCGCCTCAGCCTCCCAAAGTGCTGGGAATACAGGCGTGAGCCACCGCGCCCGGCCAGGCCATTTTCTTAACCAGGGGCCTCCTGAGGCCACCAAAATATTCCTGAACTGCCTCAGCTGATAAATACGAAGCTCTTGTTGCAGTGGGTACTATCCTGGGAGTCTTTTTATGGTGGAACCAGCTTGGAAAAAACTAGTTTATGCTCAGCTCTCGGTGGCATAATGAGAGTGTGGGTATTATTTGGTCTTTGTTATTTCTCTTCGTGTGAGATGCATTAATAAACCTTTTTTTTTTTTTTCAATTAAAATTTCAGTTCCAGAATCCATGTGCAGGACGTGCAGGTTTGTTACATAGGTAAACGTGTGCCATGGTGGTTTGCTGCACCCATCAACCCATCACCTAGGTATTAAGCCCCACACGCATCAGCTATTTATCCTGATCCTCTCCCTCCCCCAATTCCCCCTACAGGCCCCAGTGTGTGGTGTTCCCCTCCCTGTGTCCATGTGATCTCATTGTTCAGCTGCCACTTACAAGTGAGAACATGCAGTGTTTGGTTTTCAGTTCCTGTGTTAGTTTGCTGAGGATAATGTTTTCCAGCTCCATCCATGTCCCTGCAAAGGACATGATCTCATTCCTTTTTATGGCTGCATAGTATTCCATGGTGTATATGTACTGTATTTGCTTTATCCTTTCTATCATTGATGGGCATTTGGGTTGATTCCTTGTCTTTGCTATTGTGAATAGTGCTGCAATGAACATATGTGTGCATGTATCTTTATAATACAATGATTTATATTCCTTTGGGTATATAACCAGTAATGGGATTGCTGGGTCAAATGGTATTTCTGGCCAGGCGCAGTGGCTCACACATGTAATCCCAGCACTTTGGGAGGCCGAGGTGGGCAGATCACCTGAGGTCAGGAGCTCAAGACCACCCTGGCCAACATGGTGAAACTCCCGTCTCTAGCAAAAATCCAAAAATTAGCCAGGCGTTGTGGCATGCACCTGCAGTCCCAGCTACTCGGGAGGCTGAGGCAGGAGAATCACTTGAACCCTGGAGGCAGAGGCTGCAGTGAGCCGAGATCATGCCCCTGCAATCCAGCCTGGGTGACAGAGTGAGACTCTGTTTAAAAAAAAAAAAAAAAAAAAAAGGTGGCCCTGGTGCGGTGGCTCACGCCTGTAATCCCAGCACTTTGGGAGGCCGAGGCAGGTGGATCACCTGAGGTCAGAAGTTTGAGACCAGCATGACCAACAAGGTAAAACCCCATCTCTACTAAAAGAAAAAAAAAAAAAAAAGCCAGGCATGGTGGCAGGCGCCTGTAGTCCCAGTTACTTAGGAGGCTGAGACAGGATAATTGCTTGAACCTGGGAGGTGGAGGTTGCAGTGAGCCGAGATCGCACCACTGCACTCCAGCATGGGCTATTGAGCAATACTACATCTCAAAAAAAAAAAAAAGGAAAAAGGATTTCTGGTTCTGGGTCTTTGAGGAATCACCACACTGTCTTCCACAATGAACTAATTTACATTCCCAACAGTGTAAAAGCATTCCTATTTCTCCACAGCCTCGCCAGCACCTGTTGTTTCTTGACTTTTGTTGGTTTTTTTTTTTTTTTTTTGAGATGGAGTCTTGCTCTGTCGCCCAGGCTGGAGTGCAGTGGCACAATCTTGGCTCACTGCAACCTCCGCCTCCCGGGTTCACGCCATTCTCCTGCCTCAGCCTCCCGAATAGCTGGGACTACAGGCGCCCGCCACCACGCCCGGCTAATTTTTTGTATTTTTAATAGAGACGGGGTTTCACCGTGTTAGCCAGGATGGTCTCGATCTCCTGACCTTGTGATCTGCCTGCCTCGGCCTCCCAAAGTGCTGGGATTACCGGCGTGAGCCACCGTGCCCGGCGTTTCTTGACTTTTTAATAATCGCCATTTTGACTGGTGTGAGATGGTGTCTAAATGTGGTTTTGATTTGCATTTCTCTAATGATTGGTGATGTTGAGCTTTTTTTTGTATGTTTACTGGCTGCATAAACGTCTTCTTTTGAGAAGTGACTGTTCATGTCCTTTACCCACTTTTTAATGGTTTTTTTTTTCTTGTAAATTTGTTTAACTTCCTTGTAGATTCTGGATATTAGACTTTTGTGAATTGATAGATTGCAAACATTTTCTCCCATTCTGTAGGTTGTCTGTTCACTCTGATGATACTTTCTTTTGCTGAGCAGAAGCTCTTTAGTTTAGTTAGATCCCATTTGTCAGTTTTTGCTTTTGTTACAATTGCTTTTGACGTTTTTGTCATGAAATCTTTGCCCATGCCTGTGTCCTGAATGGTATTACCTAGATTTTCTTCTAGGGTTTTTATAGTTTTCGGGTTTTGCATCCAAGTCTTTCATCCATCTTGAGTTAATTTTTGTACAAGGTGTAAGGAACGGGTCCAGTTTCTATTTTCTGCATATGGCTAGCCAATTCTCCCAGCACCATTTATTAACCCACAGCCAATTTCATACTAAATGGGCATTTCCCTTGAAAACCAGCACAAGACAAGGATGCCCTCTTTCACCACTCCTATTCAACATAGTATTGGAAGTTCTGGCCAGGATAATCAGGCAAGAGAAAGAAATAAAGGATACTCAAATAGGAAGAGAGGAAATCAAACTATCTCTGTTTGCAGATGACATGATCCTATATCTAGAAAACCCCATCATCTCAGCCCAAAAGTTTCTTAAGCTGATAAGCAACTTCAGCAAAGTCTCAGGATACAAAATCAATGTGCAAAAATCACAAGCATTCCTATACACCAACAATAGACAGGCAGAGAGCCAAATCATGAAGGAACTCCCATTCACAATTGCTACAAAGAGAATAAAATACCTAGGAATACAGCTAACAAGGAAAGTGAAGGACATCTTCAAGGAGAACTACAATTCACTGCTCAAGAAAATCAGAGCGGACACAAACAAATGGAAAAACATTCCATGCTCATGGATAGGATGAATCAATATCGTGAAAATGGCCATACTGCCCAAAGTAATTTATAGATTCATTGCTATTCCCATTGAACTATCATTGACATTCCTCACACAATTAGAAAAAACTATAAAATTCATATGGAACCAAAAAAGGGCCCATATAGCCAAGACAATACTAAGCAAAAAGAACAAAGCTGGAGGCCTCAGGCTCAGACTTCAGACTATATTACAAGGTGATAGTAACCAAAACAGCATGGTACTGGTACAAAAACAGACACATAGACCAATGGAACAGAATAGAGATCTCAGAAATAAGACCACACATCTACAACCATCTGATCTTCAACAAACCTGACAAAAACAAGCAATGGGGAAAGGATTCCCTATTTAATACACCTTGTTTTGATTTTGATTTCAACACAGCGTGTGGTATTTGCATGCCATGTGATACAGTTTGAATATGTGTTCCCACCAAATCTCATACTGGATTATGATCCCCAATGTTGGAGGTGGGGGCCTGGTGGGAGGTGTTTGGATCATAGGGGTGGATCCCTCATTGCTTGGTGCTTTCCTTGCAATAGTAAGTGAATTCTCACAAGATCTGGCTATTGCAAAGTGTGGCATGTCCCCCAGTCCCAACTCTCTCTCTCTCTTGCTCCTGCTCCCACCACATGAGACAGCTACCCCCTCTTTGCCTTCTGCCATGA
This sequence comes from Homo sapiens, assembly GCF_000001405.40. Taxonomy (NCBI): domain Eukaryota; kingdom Metazoa; phylum Chordata; class Mammalia; order Primates; family Hominidae; genus Homo; species Homo sapiens. The sequence goes on from NW_003571060.1 coordinate 926,370, forward strand.
CTGTAAGCTTCCTGAGGCCTCCCCAAAAGCAGAAGCCAGCCTTCTGCTTCCTATACGGCCTTCAGAACCATGAACCAATTAAACCTCTTTTCTTATCAATGATCCAGTCTCAGATATTTATAGCAGCACAAAATCGGCCTAATATAGCATGAAATATTGCTCAGCAATCAAAAGGAACACATCATTGATACATACAGCAGCTTGGATGGGCCTCAGGGGCATTGCACTGAGTGACAAAAGGATATCTCAAACGGTTGCATACTGGATGATCCCATTTACATCAGATTCTAGAAATGGAAGATTATAGAGATGGAGAACAAATTAATGGATACCAGGAGTTAGGGATGGCAAGGGAAGGAGAAGGGTGTAGGTGTGAATATAAAAGGGTAGCCCAAGGGAGGCCCTTGTGAGACGGAAGAGTTCTGTACAGTGACTGCGGTGATGGTGACGCGAATCTACAACTGTGACAAATTGGCATAGAACTAGACACCTACTTTATGCCAATGTCAAATTCCTGGTTTTTATGTTGTACTCTAATTACGTAAGATGTAACCATTAGAGGAAACTGGAAAAAGAGCACATGGGATTCTTCTGTTCTATCATTGTAGACTTCCTGTGACTCTAGAACCATTTCAAAAGAGAAAGTTCAAAAATTCAGTCAGAAGCACACGCACACATATGCACGCATGCACACACACACATATGCACGCATGCACACACATATGCACGCACACACACATATGCACGCACACACGCACATGCACGCACACACACATATGCACGCACACAGTATGTGACCATCTTCCATGTCCCTGCCCACTAGGCATAATAGCCCTCACTCTGCCCTCAACCCCGCAAATCTCATCCTTATCAACCTCGGCTCTTTCCAGCATGTTTCTCCTGCCTTGGTGCTTCACTCTGAGACACAGGGAATGTTAGACACGCCCAGCCTCCAGCCTAGCGTATGATATTCTTAAAGTGCAGGCCGTAGTCTGGTACACCGTATTCAGCTGAGATGTTTGTGAAAGTGGAGGGGATAACACGCCTCACACAAAACTTACCGCAGTGGTTCTCAAAGCAGCATTCTGGAGCCATAGCATCAGCATCACCTGGGAACTTACTAGGAATGAAAATGACTGGATTCACCCCAGACCTACTGAAGCAGAAGCCCTGGGGGCTCAGAAATCTATTCTTTAAGCCTCCAGGTGATTCTTATGCTCATGGAAGTTTGAGAACCGCTGATCAATGCATTCAGTGACTCAGAAACAGAGTCCCGGACTCTACAGGTTTGTTGGTTGGTTGGTTGGTTGGTTGGTTGGTTAGTTTGTTTGTTTTTGTCACCCATATTCAACCAGCTGGACTCCACAGTATAGCAAGCCACTCCGATTATTCTTCTGCATGTTATATGTGATAAACCATCCACCTAGAGTAGGATTGGGGGCAGCATCTTAACATCTAACTACTTAGGACACCCACCCTGTTTACAGGCAGAAATAAAGGATTTTTAAAACAAAGCAAATCTGTGAAAGAACCAACTGAATTAAATCGAGAAGTCTAGGCAGAGAGGAGAGAGAGAAGGGGTCCGTGTACCTCATACGCTGTGCACCAGAATGGACCCTGCAGAACCTACCTGCTACCGGGGAAGGTGGTTCTGTTGGTAACCGGCTGGGGGTCACAGAGGTTCCTGGGAAATCAGAAAATGAGATAAATCTGTGCTCTGTCGCTGTGGGTCCTGAACAAATAACGAAACATCTCCGTGACTGAGTTTCCTCACCGGAAAAATGAGCCTAAAGTAGCTTACATCACTGGACTGTTGTGGATGTTAATAAGCATTTGAGCTGGGTGCAGTGCCTCATGCCTGTAATCCCAGCACTTTGGGAGGCTGAGGAGGGCAGATCACTTGAGGTCAGGAGTTCAAGCCCAGCCTGGCCAGTATGGTGAAACCCCGTCTCCACTAAAAATACAAAAATTAGCCAGGCGTGGTGGTGTGCACCTGTAATCCCAGCTGCTCGGGAGGCTGAGGCAGGAGAATCACTTGAACCTAGGAGGCAGAGGTTGCAGTGATCTGAGATCGCACCACTGCACTCCAGCCTGGGTGACGCAGTAAGACTCCATCTGAAAAAAAAAGGCTTAGCCAGGCGTGGTGGCTCACACCTGTAATCCCAGCACTTTGAGAGGCCGAGGCAGGCAGATCACCTGAGGTCAAGAGTTCAAGACCAGCCTGGCCAACATGGTGAAACCCTGTCTCTACGAAAAATACAAAAATTAGCTGGGCATGATGGCAGGTGCCTGTAATCCCATCTACTCAGGAGGCTGAGGCAGGAGAATCGCTTAAACCCAGGAGGTGGAGGTTGCAGTGAACTGAGATCACTCCACTGCACTCCAGCCTGGGTGACAAAGTGAGACTCCCCCCAAAAAAAAAAAAAAAAAAAAAAGCAGCAGCATTTGTAAAGCACACCTGGCACATTCTGGGCTATTAACAAGGAAATGCATGCAGCTCCCGTCCACCTTTTTCAACCTCAGTTCTATTTCTTCTGGATTCCTGTGTCCTACCCCTCACTGTGACCCTGGGGGCAAAACAGATTTTTCTACCAAAAACTAAATGATGTATTTTGTTTGATTTAATATGACATTGTTAAATGTACTGATCAGTGGCGTTGGGTATGTTCACATTGTGGTACAATATGTTGACCTCTAGAACTTATTTTTCTTGCAAAACTGAAATTCTGTGCCCATTAAACACTAATTCCTTCTCTCTCCTCTTTCTGGCCCTTAACAACCACCATTGTACTTTGTGTTTCTACAGTGTTGACATTAGATACCTCCTTTGACTAGAATCATACAGTAGTTGTCCTTTTGTGACTGACTTAGCATAATGTCCTCAAGGTATATCCATGTTGTAGTATGTGTCAGAATTTCCTTCTTTTTTAAGGCTGCATAATATTCCATTGCATGTATATAACCACATTATGAGGTATGCTGCTCTTTTTTGAAAGAAACCCCCTTTAAGAATGGTAGTCAAGTCCGACGCGGTGGCTCACGCCTGTAATCCCAGCACTTTGGGAGGCCGAGGCGGGCAGATCATGAGGTCAGTTCAAGACCAGCCTGACCAACATAGTGAAACCCCGTCTCTACTAAAAATACAAAAATTGGCCGGGCATGGTGGCAGGCACCTGTAATTCCAGCTACTCGAGAGGCTGAGGCAGCAGAATCGCTTGAACCCGGAAGGCGGAGGTTGCAGTGAGCTGAGATCGCGCCACTGCACTCCAGCCTGGGTGACAGAGTGAGACTTCGTCAAAAAAAAAAAAAAGAAACCTCCATTCTCCCAGCTGCCTGTAGCCCAGGGCTTCCTGCCCTCCCACTTCCTTCCCACCTCTGGCCCCGCCCCTGCAGCCCAGGGCTTCCTGCCCTCCCACTTCCTTCCCACCTACGGCCCCGCCCCTGCAGCCCAGGGCTTCCTGCCCTCCCACTTCCTTCCCACCTACGGCCCCGCCCCTGCAGCCCAGGGCTTCCTGCCCTCCCACTTCCTTCCCACCTACGGCCCCGCCCCTGCAGCCCAGGGCTTCCTGCCCTCCCACTTCCTTCCCACCTACGGCCCCGCCCCTGCAGCCCAGGGCTTCCTGCCCTCCCACTTCCTTCCCACCTACGGCCCCGCCCCTGCAGCCCAGGGCTTCCTGCCCTCCCACTTCCTTCCCACCTCTGGCGCCGCCCCTGCAGCCCAGGGCTTCCTGCCCTCCCACTTCTTTCCCACCTATGGCCGCGCCCCTACAGCCCAGGGCTTCCTGCCCTCCCACTTCCTTCCCACCTACGGCCCCGCCCCTGCAGCCCAGGGCTTCCTGCCCTCCCACTTCCTTCCCACCTACGGCCCCGCCCCTGCAGCCCAGGGCTTCCTGCCCTCCCACTTCCTTCCCACTTATGGCCCCTCCCTTGGAATGGCCATCAGGACCTATAAAGGCTGAGGAAGAAAGGTTTGGTCTGCACTACCCCTACCTGTGACCACAAGCTCCAGGGGGTCGCTGGGGGCTGACCACAGGTATGGGTCCCTGCTGGAGAAGCTGTAGCATCGGTAGGTTCCGCTGTGGGCGGCGGTCACCGTGATGATGGGAAAACTAGCCCTGTACCATCTCTCGGGATTCTTGTAGGGCGCAGGGTCCCCTTCCTTGTACAGAGCAAATTGGTCAAAGCCATACCGAGTCTGACACTGTAGGGTTACGTCCCCTCCTGACGACACCGCCGGGCCGGGCTGGGCTGAGAGCGAGGGTTTGGCAAAAACTCCTGGGAGAAAAAGAAAGTCTGATGTTGAAGGCAGGAGCCAGCATCTCAGCTGAGACTGGGGAGGTCCCCACACCTGCCTAAGAGCTGGGGAGCTTTTTGGCTGTATCCCTCCCAGAGAGCGCACTCCCCCACCCAAGCTCACAGAGAGGTCGAGTCACCCAGTGGTTGAGGAAGGAGGCTGTGCTCACGTCCTAGTGCTTGGGTGCAAATCCTAGTTCTGCCTTCAGGGGCCTGGTGGCCCTGGAGACAAATCTCCCTCTGTATCTGAGCCTCACTGCCTTGTTCTGTTAAAATGGGGATGACTGAATGAGACAGTACACAGTAATTTGCAGAGTGCCTGTTGCCTAGCAAGCGCTGGAGTAAGTAAATAGCTTAAGCTTATACTGTGCTGTAAGCTTGTATTGCCACATACAATTGTTACGTTGTAAATGTGGCTGACAGTGCTAGCTTCCGGGTGCCTTCCAAACTTATGATGTATATCAGTTCAGTGAATCCTCAGAGACCTATGGAGTCCTCACTCTTAATGTCCCTATTTTATAAATGAAACTAAGGCACATGGCATTAAATAATTTGTCCAACTCTAGGTAACAATACTGCAGTGTACAGCTGAAATTTGCTAAGAGGGTAGATTATAAGTATTCTCACACACAAAAAAGTTAACTGTGTCAGGTGATGTATGTTAATTAGCTTGCTAGTAGTAACTGTCTCACAGTGGATTCGTATATCAAAACATCAACTTGTACACCTTGGATATATTCCATTTTTGTTTTTCAATTATACCTCAACAAAGCTGGACATATTTTAATTTAAAAATAAATAAAAAACTTGTCCAAGATCATAAGTGGCAGAGTTGAAATCTGCACTCACAGAGTTTGATTCCAGGGTCTCCGCTCCTAAACACGAACCTACACTACTCTGATGTGAGGTTGTTGTCATAGACCGGTGTGGTGATGCATGCCTGCACACAGGAGTCAGAAAAACAAAGGTTGAGGCTGGGTGCGGCGGCTCACACCGGTCATCCCAGCACTTTGGGAGGCCAAGGTGGGAGGATCGCTTGAGCCCAGGAAGGCGAGGCTGCAGTGAGCTATGATCACTGTACACTAGCCTGGGTGACAGAGTGAGACCTTGTCTCAAAAAAAGACAGAGAGAGAAAGCAAAAGAAAGGAAGTAAGGAAGATAAAAATATAAGCTGCCTAATAATTATGGCATTCACTCAACAAGAAGAAAAAGAAAGAAAGAGGAAGGAAGGGAGGGAGGGAGGAAGGAAGGAAGGAAATATATAAGCTGCCTGATAACTGTAACATTCACTCAGCAATATTTTCTCTTAATTTTCACTTAAGCAACTATTATGTGTCTGTCTGTATTCTTTTTTTGTTGTTTCATTTGTTTTGTTTTGTTTTGTTTTGTTTTGAGACGGAGTCTCGCTCTGTCACCCAGGCTGGAGTGCAATGGCATATATATATATATATATATATATATATATATATATATATATATATATATATATATATATTTTTTTTTTTTTTTTTTTTTTTTTTTTTTTTGGGAAACAGAATCTCACTCTGTTGCCCAGGCTGGAGTGCAGTGGCATGATCCCAGCTCACTGCAACCTCCACCTCCTGGGTTCAAGCGATTCTCCTGCCTCAGCCTCCCGAGTAGCTGGGACTACAGGCATGCACCACCATGCCCAGTTAATTTTGTATGTTTAGTAGAGACAGGGTTTCACCATGTTAGCCAGGCTGATCTCGAACTCCTGACCTCAGGTGATCCGTCCACCTCGGCCTCCCAAAGTGCTGGCATTACAGGCGTGAGCCACCGTGCCCGACCAGGAATTAAAAATAGACAACCACCACCAAGATAAAAAAAGGTATACTTCACATACCAGATAGTGAGGAGGGCCACTTTGACTAGGGTGGTGGGGGATATACTTAGCGAGAAGAGAGTATTTGAGTCTGACCCTGAAAGAAGTAATGAGGCAGCCAGGCTGGTCCATTCTAGTAGCAGAGAGGAGGCCAGTGATGCTGTGGAGGGGAGTGAGGCAGGGAAGAGGGGAGGGAGGCAGGATTTATAACGCGGAATAGACCACAGTGCAGCTGGCCAGGAATTAGGGTGGCGTGAGTGAGGCACTCTCCTGGGATGTAAAATTTAATTATTCCCAAACAATTAACATATTTGAAAAAATTATTGAAAATTTGAAGAGTAGGTCGTTAAAACTCACATTATTCTGTTTGAATACTTTATTCCCCTGAAAGATTTATTAGAATTTTACATTCTAGGCTTTTGTGGATGCAAGCGCATCAGTGCTATTTCCAAAACCTACTTCTAGAAAATAACCATTTAAAAGTGCACTAACTGGGTGCACCTATAGTCCCAGCTACTAGGGAGGACCACTTGAGCCCAGGGATTTGAGGCTAAAGTGAGCTATGATCATGCCTGTGAATACAGCGAGTGTACTAAAGCCTGGGCAACATAGTAAGACCTCTTCTCTTTTTTTTTTTTTCCCAAGACGGAGTCTTGCTCTGTCGCCCAGGCTGGACTGCAGTGGTGCAATCTCGGCTCACCGCCTCCCAGGTTTAAGCGATTCTCCTGCCTCAGCCTCCGGAGTAGCTGGGATTACAGGAGTGCGCCACCGCGCCCAGCTAATTATTATTATTTTTTTTAGTAGAGACGGGGTTTCACCATGTTGGCCAGGCTGGTCTCAAACTCCTGACCTTAAGTGATCCACCCACCTCAGCCTCCCAAAGTACTGGGATTACAGGCGTGAGCCGCCGCGCCCGGCCCAACCTCTTCTCTTAAAAAAAATAAATAAATAAGAAAAGAAATTAGAATATTTGCACCAATCAAGAGTCTAAGGAGACATAAATACTAAATGCACTGTGGGGCCCTGGACGGGGTCTGGGAACAGAAATAGGATATTAGTGGAAAGACTGGTGAAATTCAAATAGCCTGGAGTTTACTTGATATAATATAGTTGTGTCTATGGTTAGTTTTTTGTTTGTTTTTTGATACAGGGTCTCACTCTGTCACCCAGGCTGGAGTGCAGTGGCGTGATCACAGCTCCCTGCAGCCTCGGCCTCCCTGGCTCAAGCGATCCTCCTGCCTCAGCCTCCTGAGTAGCTGGGACTATAGGTGTATGCCACCATGCCCCACTAATTTTTAATTTTGTTTAAAGATGAGGTCTCACTATGTTGCCCAGGCTGGTCTTGAACTCCTGAGCTCAAGCAATCCTCCCGCCTCAGCCTCCCAAAGTGCTGGGATTACAGGTGTAAACCACTGGGACCAGTGCTACGTTTATTTTTTGGTTGTAACAAATGTAAGATGTTAACATGAGGGGATCCTGGGTGAAATATTTCCATTAATATTATCTTTGGAACTTTTCTGTCAGTCTAAAAATTACTCCAAAACAAAGTTTTAAAAAGAATCCCGAGCCAAGCACGGTGGCCCGTGACCGTAGTCCCTGCTACTCATGAGGCTGAGGCAGGAGGATTGCTCAAGGCAAGGAGCTCCAGGCTGCAGTGAGCTATGACTGCTCCTATGAACAGCCACTGCACTCCGGCCTGGGCAGTGTAGCAAGACCCCATCGCTAATTTTTTTAAGTGCATTAAAACACAGATAAAGGGTTGCCTGTTTTTCGTTTTGGCACAGACTCTGGTATGACTTGACACAGGCACTGGCTGATTCTGCCTTTATTTGAAATTCTGGTTTTTTTCATTGTGGATGTTTTTGCAATTTATTTTGATTTTTTTAAAAATTGCATGAAAATGTTATTCACAGCCAGATGCAGTGGCTCACGCCTGAAATCCCAACACTTTGGGAAGCCAAGGTGGAAGGATAGCTTGAGCCCACAGGAGTTCGAGACCAGCCTGAGCAACATAGCGAGACCCTATCTCTCTCTCTTTTGTATTTTAATGCCTTTTGTGAAAACTGTCAAGAGACCCCATCTCTATAAAAACATAAAAAATGAGCTGGGCGTGGTGGTGCACACCTGTAATCCTAGCTACTTGGAGGGCTGAGGCGGGAGAATCGCTTGAGCCCTGGAGGTGGAGGCTGCAGTGAGCCAAGATCGCGCCACTGCTCTCCACCCTGGGTGACGCAGCAAGACCCTGTGTCCAAAAAACAAAATATTATTCACATTGATCCATAAATGTCGTGGCACCACCACCCGCTAGGCCAGTGCCTCGTTTGCCTCACCCTAATCCCTGCCCTCAATGTCCCCCGTATTTGTGTCCTGAACGGAGGACCACGCAGTCCCAGGCTCCGATCCCCCTTCCTTTACCCGTGGCAACGAGCTCCAGCTGGTCGCTGGGCAGGGACCAGAGGCTTCCGTTCTGGTAGGAGCAGCGGTAGCGTCCAGCCAGACTTCTCTTCATGGCCGGGATGAAGAGGACTGCCTGATCCTGGTACCTGCTGGAACTCAGCTTCTCCAGGCGGTACAGGTCCACGCCCGGAGGTCCCTGGCACCGGAGGGTCACTGGCTTCTCCAGGGGCACCAGGGAGCTGGGCAGAGCCTGGAGGGAGGGCTTGGGGAGCGGTCCTGGAAGAGGAGCAGGGCTGGGTCAGCCTCCCCGCAGACCCCGCCTGGACCCCGCTGCTCCCGCGCTGGCGGATCCCGCAGGAGGGAAGGGGTCTGGGGAAGGACTCACCACTCTGCGCTGGCACACGCCCCAGACACAGCCCTGAGGAAAGAAGAAAGGGACCAGATGCCAGGACTCGCTTTTATGGACATTCCTGCCTGCTGGGCGCGGTGATAAGACATTTGCATGCATATGCTTTACTCTGTCCTAATAATTTCTTCAAAAGACACACAGGAATGTAATTTAAGTGAGAGAAACCGGTCAGAAAAAGCCACATAGTTTATGAGGTCATTTACATGAAATATCCAGAATAGGTAAATCTATAGGAGATGGAGAAGAAAGCAGATCCATGGCTGGGGGTGGTGGGAGAGGAGGGCAAGGCATGGTGGCGTACTGCTCTCTGTGGACTTGTTCGTGTTAGACACGGTGGGCTCGTTCGTGTTAGACACGGTGGACTCGTTCGTGTTAGACACGGTGGGCTCGTTCGTGTTAGACACGGTGGGCTCGTTCGTGTTAGACACGGTGGACTCGTTCGTGTTGTGTTAGACACGGTGGACTCGTTCGTGTTAGACGCGGTGGACTCGTTCGTGTTAGACACGGTGGACTCGTTCGTGTTGTGTTAGACACGGTGGACTCGTTCGTGTTGTGTTAGACACGGTGGACTCGTTCGTGTTAGACACGGTGGGTTCGTTCGTGTTAGACACGGTGGGTTCGTTCGTGTTAGACGCGGTGGGTTCGTTCGTGTTAGACGCGGTGGACTCCTTCGTGTTGTGTTAGACACGGTGGACTCGTTCGTGTTAGACACGGTGGACTCGTTCGTGTTAGACACGGTGGACTCGTTCGTGTTAGACACGGTGGACTCGTTCGTGTTGTGTTAGACACGGTGGACTCGTTCGTGTTGTGTTAGACACGGTGGGCTCGTTCGTGTTGTGTTAGACACGGTGGACTCGTTCGTGTTGTGTTAGACACGGTGGGCTCGTTCGTGTTAGACGCGGTGGGCTCGTTCGTGTTAGACGCGGTGGGCTCGTTCGTGTTGTGTTAGACACGGTGGGCTCGTTCGTGTTGTGTTAGACACGGTGGGCTCGTTTGTGTTGTGTTAGACACGGTGGGCTCGTTCGTGTTAGACATTGCCCATTGACTTCCTCAGTGGATGTGAGGAATGGGACCTGAGACATTGCTGTCCCTTCGTTTCCTCCCTTCAGTCTCCCAATATTAAATAATATCCAAGTACATTACAATAGTATGCAATTGTATAGACAAGTATTGTAAATACTATTGCATATTGTATATTATTGTATTTTATTGTCTATGTAATATATGCGATAAAACCCCACACTAATGGGATGCATTGGGCTCCAAGGATGGAGCAGGATGGAGCCTCAGCGTGTAAGTCAGGACGTCTCAGCATGTGCTGGCCATGGGTTTCCCGGTATTTACAACATTTGCTTGAATCAGTATTCCATGATTACATGATAGGATATAATATATATAATAATCGTTTCAAATAGCCTGAAGGAGGATGGGGAAAGTTCCCAACACAGAAAGGATGCATGTTTGAGAAGATGGGTGTGCTACTTACCCTGATCTGATTACTATATGTATATACACATATAGTGCATATATGTAAACCTACATCTATACATACATGTGTATGTACATATACACGTGTGTACATACACACGTGTATATGTATGTATATGTATATATGTATGCATGTGTGTGTGTGTGTGTGTGTGTGTGTATACATATGTATACAAATACATGTACATAAGCGATCCCCTCCTGGAATTGCTTGAGCCCAGGAGGTCAAGTCTGCTGTGAGGTAAGATTGCACCACTGGCCGGGCACGGTGGCTCATGCCTATAATCCCAGCACTTTGGGAGGCCAGGGTGGGCGGATCACAAGGTCAGGAGTTCAAGACCAGCCTGGTCAACATGGTGAAACACCATCTCTACTAAAAATACCAGAAATTAGCTGGGCATGGTGGCACGTGCCTGTAATCCTAGCTACTGGGGAGGCTGAGTCAGGAGAATCACTTGAACCCGGGAGGCGGAGGTTGCAGTGAGCCAAGATCACGCCACTACACTCCAGCCTGGGCAACAGAGCAAGACTCCATCTCGAGGAAAAAAAAAAATGATATTGCCCCATTGCACTCCAGACTGACAACAGAGCAAGACCCTGTCTCAGAAAACGAAGAGGAGGAGGAAAAAAAAAGTACTAATTATCTGAAATTCCAATTTAACCAGGCATCCAGTGTTTTATCTGGTAACCCTCATTCTTACACACACACACACACACACACACACACAAAGGCGGGATAGTTGTCATTCCCACTGTAAACATAAGGAAACTGGGCAGAGGCCAAGCAACCTTGTGTAGCTCACATAGCAAGAAGTGGGTGAACCCAGCTCATGTCTTGACTCTGAGCTCAGAGAGTGACAACTTGTCACCAGCGCCCCCATAGCCACCACCCTTTGTCCACCCCAGGCTCCCTCTGCACCCCAACGCAAGCTCCGGCCGCTTCTCTGTCCCCCTCCTCCTGCCGCATCACAGCCCACCTCAGCCTCTTTGTAGGTTTCCATGCGACGCTGTACCATGGCTGGGAGTCTTCCAGGCGCCGTGCTGAGCGCCTTCTGTGCATGGACTCCAAGTCGCCATAATCGTACGGGTTACCCACCATTATCAGTCCCCTCTTATACATCAGGCTAGTGAGACAGTATCTTATCCACAGTCCTACAGCTGGCAGGAGTAGATTCAAACCCTAGCAGCACCAATTAGTGGTAAAGAGTGTGGACTTGGGAACTTACAGGAGTAGAGAGCACAGTGGTGGTTACCGGGGCGGTGGGGTAAGGTTTGGGGAGATGTTGGTCAGAGGAGGACAGTTTCAGTTGGACAAGAGGAGTATGTCTTGGAGATCTACTGCACATCATGGTGACTGTAGTTAATAACAACATATTGTACACTTGCATATCACCGATAGTAGATTTTAAATGTTCTCACCGGCCGGGCGCGCTGGCTCACACCTGTAATCCCATTTTGGGAGGCCAAGGTGGGCGGATCACCTGAAGTCAGGAGTTCGAGAGCAGCCTGACCAACATGGTGAAACCCTGTCTCTACTAAAAATACAAAAATTAGCGGGGCGTAGTGGCAGGAGCCTGTAATCCCAGCTACTTGGGAGGCTGAGGCAGGAGAATCGCTTGAACCTGGGAGGTGGAGGTTGCAGTGAGCCAACGTCATGCCACTGCGCTCCAGTCTGGGCAACAGAGTGAGACTCCATGTCAAAAAATAAAAATAAATAAAAATAAATGAGCGTGGAATACTACTCAGCCATTAAAAGGAGTGAAATAATGTCTTTTGGCCAGGCACAGTGGCTCACATCTGTAATGCCAGCACTCTGGGAGGCCGAGGTGGGTGGATCACGAGGTCAAGAGATCAAGACCATCCTGCCCAACATGGTGAAACCCCATCTCTACTAAAAATACAAAAATTAGCCGGGCATGGTGGCGGGTGCCTGTAGTCCCAGCTACTCGGGAGGCTGAGGCAGGAGAATCACTTAAACCCGGGAGGTGGAGTTTGCAGTAAGCCGAGATCACACCACTGCACTCCAGCCTTGGTGAGAGAGCGAGATTCCGTCTTTAAAAAAAAAAAAAAAAAGTCTTTTGCAGCAACTTGGATGGAGCTGGAAGGCATTATTCTAAGTAAAGTAATACAGGAGTGGAAAACAAAAATCTGTATATTCTCACTTATAAGTGAGAGCTAAGCTGTGGGTATGCAAAGGCATGCAGAGTGATGTAATGGACTTCAGAGACTCAGAAGGGAAGGGCAGAAGTGGGGCAGGGATGAAAAACTACACATTAGGTACAAGGTACACTAGTCAGGTGACAGGTGCACTAAAATCTCAGAATTCACCAGAATATAATTCATCCATGTAACCAAGAACCACTTGTATCCCAAAAGCTACTGAAGCAACAAGCCAGATGCAGTAACCTGTACAGGCCACACCTGTAACCCCAACACTTTGGGAGGCCGAGGTGGGTGGATCGCTTGAGCCCAGGAGTTCAAGACCAGCCTGGGCAACATAGCGGACCCCCGTAACTAAAAAAATTACAAAAACAAGCCAGGCATGATGGTGTACAACTGTAGTTCCAGATACTCAGGAGGCTGATGGGGAGGCACTGGTTGAGCCTGGGAGGTTGAGGCTGCAGTGAGCCATGATCATGCCACTGCCCTCCTGCCTGGGTGACAGAAGTGAGGCCCTATCTCAAATAAAATTAAATAAATAAAAGTTAAAACAGGCTGGGTGCGGTGGCTCACGCCTGTAATCCCAGCACTTTGGGAGGCCGAGGCGGGTGGAACCTGAAGTAAGGAGCTTGAGACCAGCCTGGCCAACATGGTGAAACCCCGCCCCTACTAAAAATACAATAATTAGCCAGACCTGGTGGCAGATGCCTGTAATCCCAACTATTCGGGAGGCTGAGGCAGGAGAATCACTTGGACCCGGGAGGCAGAGTTTGCAGTGAGCTGAGATCATGCCATTGCATTCCAGCCTGAGCGACCGACTGAGCGAGACTCCATCTCAAAAAACAAACAAAAAGAAAAAAAGAATACATCCATGGATGGATAATGAATGAGAGGTTGTTTATATTCACAGTTAACCCTCTCATCTCCAGTAATGCAACCATCTTCTTCCTGCTTAGCCTTTTGGAGATGCTGTCCCTTTAGTGGTCAAATTCTGAAGAAATCAGGAAATAATGCATTCGACATGCCCAGCACAAGTGAAGATCAGGCAGCAGAAATGCATTCGACCTGCCACCCATCCATCAGGAGACTATTTACTCCACTACTGTAGGGGATACTGACAAATTAAATCCATACCTAGTCCAGATATCAATTCCACAATTTTTTTTTTTTTTTTTTTGAGACGGAGTTTCGCTCTTGTTGCCCAGGCCAGAGTGCAATGGTGTGATCTTGGCTCACCGCAACCTCCACCTCCCAGGTTCAAGCGATTCTCCTGCCTTAGCCTCCAGAGTAGCTGGGATTACAGGCATGTGCCACCACACCCGGCTAATTTTGTATTTTTAGTAGAGATGGGGTTTCTCCATGTTGGTCAGGCTGGTCTCAAACTCCCGACCTCAGATGGCCCACCCGCCTCGGCCTCCCAAAGTGTGTAAGCCATGGCACTCAGCCTTTTTTTTTTTTTTTTTTTTTTTTTTTGAGATGGAGGCTCTCTCTGTTGCCCAGGCTGGAGTGCAATGCCTGACCTCAGCTCACTGCAACTTCTGCCTCCCAGTTTCAAGCAATTCTCCCACCTCAGCCTCCCACGTAGCTGGGATTACAAGCACCCGCCATCACGCCCGGCTAATTTTTGTAGAGATGGGGTTTCACCATGTTGACCAGGCTGGTCTTGAACTCCTGACCTCAGGTGATCCACCCACCTCGGCCTCCCAAGGTTGAGATTACAGGCGTGAGCCACTGTGCCTGGCCCACATTTTTTAAAAAAGGGGCAACTGCAGTGTAGTAGAACAAAGTTGTGACCAATGCTAGGATACTCTGTTCATTTCCTGACCCAGCCATGAATACACTGGAATAACTCATGCAAAATGCCAGCTCGCTGGCCCCCCGTTTCCCCACCCAACAAATGAAGGGGCTCTTACAGGTTCCTTTTTGTCCTGAAATTCATCACCAATGCAAATTTCTTAAAAATCCTTTGTCTGGCAGTCCATGCCTGTCCTTCAGCATTTCCCAGATCTGACCCTCAGGACTCACCAAGACAGAAGAGGGCGGTCGGGGATGGAGACATGGTTCCTCAGCCCTGTCCTGAGCTCTGTGGCCAGGGAGGGAAGTGGTGGGAGCCTGGGGCACAGGCTCAGGATGTGATGAGGATGAAGAATGCTCTCCTCCCTTCCTCCACCAGCCCCGGCCTTTCCTAATTGAGACTCATCGAGCCGTAGCCGGCTCCTCAGTACAGTGACTTGCACACAAGCTCCAAGGAGCCGCGCTTATCTCCTCTGGCCAGCCTGGCGTTGCACCGTTTGTCCGCCTGCTGGGGCCTGGTCTGTGTTCCCGTGCTCCCATAAACTCCCTGATGTCACTAGGAAAATACGCATCAAAACCACAGTGAGATATGACTTCACACCTTCTGGAATGGCTGTATTTTTTTTTTTTCTTTTGAGACAAAGTCTCGTTCTTTTTGCCCAGGTTGGAGTGCAGTGGCGCCATCTCGGCCCACTACAACCTCCACCTCCCAGGTTCAAGCGATTCTCCTGCCTCAGCCTCCCAAGTGGCTGGGATTATAGGTATGTACCACACCAGGCTAATTTTTGTATTTTTAGTAGAGATGGGGTTTCACTGTGTTGGCCAGGCTGGTCTTGAACTCCTGACCTCAGTTGATCCACCTGCCTCGGTCTCCCAAAGTGCTGGGATTACAGGCATGAGCCACTGCACCCGACCGGCTATAATTTTTTTTAATGGAAAACAGCAGATATTGGTGAGTATGCAGAGAAATTGAACTGCGCGTGCATTGCTGGCAGGGACGTAACATGGCGCCCCTGCTGTGGAAAACAGTTCCAGCAGCTCCTCCAGAAGTTAAACGTGGGATTGCCATAAAATCCAGCAATTCCACTTCGGGGTACACACCTAAAAGAACTGAAAACAGGGTCTCTAACATATTTGTACACAGTGTTCATAGCAGCTTTATTCACAATAGCCAAAAGGTGAAACCACCCACATGTCCATCAACAACAATGGATAAACAACATGTGGTATATACACACAAGGTAATATCAACCAGCCTTAACTAAAAGAATAAAAATCAGCCAGGCACAGTGGCTCACGCCTGTAATCCCAGCACTTTGGGAGGCCGAGGCGGGCGGATCACCTGAGGTCAGGAGTCCGAGACCAGCCTGGTTAACATGGTGAAACCCCATCTCTACTAAAAATACAAAAATTAGCTGGGCGTTAAATTAGCCGGGCATGGTGGCAGGTGCCTGTAATCCCAGCTACTTGGGAGACGGAGGCATGAGAATCGCTTGAACCTGGGAGGCAGAGATTGCGGTAAGCCGAGATCGCACCACTGCACTCCAGCCTGGGCGGCAGAGTGAGACTGTCTCAAAAATAAAAATAAGGCCGGGCGTGGTGGCCCATGCCTGTAATCCTAGTACTTTAGGAGGCTGAGGCAGGCAGATTGCCTGAGCTCAGCAGTTCAAGACCAGCCTGGGCAACACAGTAAAACCCCCAAAAAATACAAAAAAAAAATAGCCGGGCATGGCGGCAGGCACCTGTAGTCCCAGCTACTCCGGAGGCTGAGACAGGAGAATGGCTTGAACCCGGGACGCGGAAGTTGCGGTGAGCCGAGATCGCGCCATTGCACTCCAGCCTGGGTGACAGAGCGAGATTCTGTCTCCAAAAAATAAAAAATATTATAAAAGAATAAATTCAGATACATGCTACAACGTGATGGACCTTGAAGACATTATGCTAAAGGAAATATTCCGGACTTGACAGATAAATACTGCATTGTGCCGCTTATCTGAGGTATCGAGAGGAGTCAAATTCATAGAGACAGGGATTAGAATGGTGGTTGCCAAGGCCTGGGAAAAGTGGGGAGTTACTATTTAATAGGGAGCGCTTAGGTTGAAGATGATGACAAAGTCTGGGGGATCCATAGTGGTGATGGTTACACAACACTGTAAATGTATTTATATTTAATGCCATTGACTGTTTTTTGTTTTTTGGTTTTTTGAGACGGAGTCTCACTCTGTCGCCGAGGCTGGAGTGCAGTGGCGCGATCTTGGCTCACCGCAACCTCCGCCTCCCAGGTTCAAGCGATTCTCCTGCCTCAGCCTCCTGAGTAGCTGGGACTACAGGTGCGTGCCACCATGCCTAGTTGATTTTTTGTATTTTTAGTAGAGACGGGGTTTCACCGTGTTAGCCAGGATGGTCTCGATCTCCTGACCTTGTGATTTGGCCTCCCAAAGTGCTGGGAATACAGGCATGAGCCACCGCGCCCGGCCAGTGCCGTTGACTTGTATGTGCACTTACAGGTGGTTAAAATGAGAACTATCAGGGTGTTGATATCTAAAAACCTCCCTGCCATCATCTTCCCTACATCTCTCATTCAGTGACCATGGTTGAATGCCTGCCACCTTTCAAATATTATGTCAGGCACTCAGTATTGGCAGTTTTATCCATTATAAATGCTTTAAGCTGCATAGAATTTTAAACGTGTTAATAAAAGTAGTTATAAATCTTTAATACATAAGCTGGCTTTAAAATTATTGGTAAAATAAGATTAGAAATGTCTTAAGAATTGTTGGCGTTTTTGTTTGCACTTATTGAACGAGTGGTTTCATGCTTATCCCTGCAGAATACTATGAGATTTGTCATAAGGGTTATAAAACTATAAACCCGGCTGGGCGTGGTGGCTCACGCCTGTAATCCCAACACTCTGGGAGGCCGAGGCAGGCAGATCACCTGAGGTCGGGAGTTTGAGACCAGCCTGACCAACATGGAGAAACGCCATCTCTACTAAAAATACAAAATTAGCTGGGTGTGGTGGCGCATGCCTGTAATCCCAGATACTCAGGAGGCTGAGGCAGGAGAATCGCTTGAACCCGGGAGGCAGAAGTTGCAGTGAGCCGAGATTGCGCCACTGCACTCCAGCCTGGGCAACAAGAGTGAAACTCCATCTAAAATAAATAAAAATAAAACATTTGTTTTTTGTAGAGTTGGGGTTTCACTATGTTGCCCAGGCTGGTCTTGAACTCCTCCTGGGCTCAAGCAATCCACCGACCTCAGCCTCCCAAAGTGCTGGGATTACAAGTGTGAGCCACTGTGCCTGGCCCTATTGGGTCCTTTTAAAAGATACATAAAAAATCAAATGCAACAGTGAAGTCAATCACCCGATGGCAGAAATTGGGGTGCTCCTGGCATGTGGTCGGTCGAAGCCAAGGACACTGCTCAGCATTCTGCAGTGCACAGGACGGCCCCGCCCAGGCGGAGAATGATCCGGTGACACATATAGGTGGGAAGGATGCACGAATGATGGCGTTTAGGAAGAATATTATCACTTCTTTCCCGTAAGAGCAACTTAGAGCAAGAAAATGGTATTATTCTTAGGGCCTTCTCTCTTATGGAGGCTCCAAGCCAGGGTTGCCATGGCAGAAGATGCTGGGCTTGCTTTTTCCTTGAGAGAACTGTACTCAAGATGATGTAACTGTCACCCCGGGTGCCACTTGGGTGCTTTGGAGAAGCGCTCAGACGCGACACGCCGTGACGACTCCGCGGCAGGCAGCCGGACCTGTCCTCTGGCGTGCGGTTCACGGGCTGTGTTTATCCCCCTGGTTCCTTCACAGCCACCTTGGGAAATACGTTGCCTCTGAATCACGCCAGGCAGGCTCTCACTGTGTGTGCTGCGGGGCTGGAAATCAGGGTGACACTCCGCTACCGAACAGCCTGACTAGGAAGCCAGAAAGACGCTGCCGGCTTTAGTTTGTCCTTTGACTTTCCTTGATATGAATGAAGATAGAGCACTTCCACACTGCACAACAGGAAAAGCCCAGAACGCTTCCTGGAGATAGCGAGGGGGTGATGCAGCGGACAGCTATGGCTGATGACCCCCTCACCTCTGACTCCCCCTCCCTCCCTGCTTTCTGAACGCACATCCATCACCAACCATAGGTTCCTGTTTGGGGTTTGCTGGCTGGAAAAAAAAAAAAAAAAAAAAGGAAAGCTGGCTTTCTAGTAAAAACCACTTCCTTTGCTCATTTATCAAACTCAAACGCTAGGAGGGCCACCTAACATCCTCCGTCCCACGCAATGGGGTGTTTCTGGAGCACTCCGGTTTATCAGGGACCCTGTCAGTTGCCATCGCACATGTATATGGGGCCAGCCCCTGTGCCACCGAAGAGGGGGGATATTGAAAACATGTTACAGCCAGGAGCGGTGCCCCCTTGGTTCAAGCAGTTCTTCTGCCTCAGCCTCCCTAATAGCTGGGATTACAGGCGTGCACCATCACGCCTGGCCACTGTTATGTAGTTTTTACCACAATTTAAAAAAGGAAAGAGTGCCTGGGTGAGTCCTACGCACCTATTCGGAGAACCAAAGGCTTTGAGGTTATCCTCGGCCCACCCATCTGATGGGAGTGTTTCTCAAACTTGCTTTTCCGTGATCTCCCAGTAAGAAATACCTACTACACACACACAGTCTCCGGTCGGCATGCTTAGGGTAGTCTTCCAATTCCCCCTCCTGGTATTTACACCCTGGAGTGGTCCGCTCCTCTTGGGCTGAACCTGTAACTTGCTCCCAAGCAAGAGCACACAGCAAGCTCACGCACGTGGTTGTTGGTGTGATTCTGTTTCTCCAGATTGTCTCCATTCCTCCCTGGCTTCTCCACAGGGCCGCTCACCATGGCAGCCGGCTCCATCACCACCAGCCAGCGAGAGGGCAAGACAAGAGGGCTGACGAGGGACGCTACCATCACAGAGGTCAGTTTTGTAACCTAACCACAAGACTAACCTACTGTCACTTCTGCCCTATCCTACTGCTAGAAGCCAGTCGCTACATCTCCCCCACACTCAAAGGGAGGTGGTCGCACCGTGGGGTCCACTGGAAGTTGCCTACCAGACTCAGGTCATCCCAAACACACCCTCTAGCCATTTGGTGTGGCATCGGAAAGAAAACTAAGGCCAGGTACGGTGGCTCATGCCTGTAATCCCAACAATTTGGGAGGCCATGGCGGAAGGGTCACTTGAGCCCAGGAGTTTGAGACCAGCCTGGGCAACATAGCAAATGTTATGTTGCCACCTCTACAAATAATTAGCCAAGTGTGGTGGCATGCACCTGTAGTCCCAGATACTCAGGAGGCTGAGGCAGGAGAATCACAGGTCGAGGTTGTAGTGAGCTGTGACGGCACTGCACTCCAGCCTTGGCAACACAGTAAGACCTCGTCTCTAAAAAAGCAAAAAGGGCTGGGTGCACTGGCTCACACCTATAATCCCAGCACTTTGGGAGGCCAAGACGGGTGGATCACCTGAGGTCAGGAGTTCAAGATAAGCCTGGCCAACATGGTGATACCGTCTTTAATTAGCCAGGTGTGGTGGTGGGCGCCTGTAATCCCAGCTACTCGGGAGGCTGAGGCATGAGAATCGCTTGAACATGGGAGACACAGGTTGCAGTGAGCTGAGATCATGCCATTGCACTCCAGCCTGGGCAACAGAGCGAGACTAGGTGGCTGTTCTGTGTACTGTGGGATATTGAGTAGCATCCCTGGCCTCCCCAGTATCTCAAATATGAAAACATGTTTTCTATCTCGATTACTGAGCTTTTCGGTGCCTCCTTCGGTTCTGCACCTAAGCTAAGAGCCCCTTCATCTCACCCTGATCTCTATCCAGTTTCTAACACAGCAGTCTTGTAAGATGCCCGGACTTAAACGGTTATTTCCTGTGAAACAGGTGAAAGGGGCTTTCATCTCTAAAAAGTCGGAACTTTTTTTTTTTTTTGAGACGGAATCTTGCTCTGTCACCCAGGCTGGAGGGCAGTGGCATGATCTCGGCTCACTGCAATCTCCGCCTCCCAGCTTCACACCATTCTCCTGCCTCAGCCTCCCGAGTAGCTGGGACTACAGGCGCCCACCACCATGCCCAGCTAATTTTTTGTATTTTTTTAGTAGAAACAGGGTTTCATTGTGTTAGCCAGGATGGTCTCGATCTCCTGACCTCGTGATCCACCGCGCCCGGCCAAGTCTGAACTTTTGCATGGCCTGTTGCCCTGGTGATAAACTGATGCCTTGTTTCCTAAAAGGAATAAAGCCATGAGTTGCCTTTGTTCAGCTCATGGGCATTCACCCATGCACAGAGGAAAAATAAAATCTACGACTCGGGTACATTTTCTTCTTTTTTTTTTCTTTTAAATGAGCAAGTTTGAGAGTCTGCAGTTTGGACTACCATGAGAATTGATAGGAAGGTGGGAGTCCCAGGCAATCCCAGGTCCTGTAGCAGCAGCTGGTGGGGTTCCCACTCCATGCCGTGCAGAGCCTGAACTCAGGATGACACCTGCACCTGCTCTCTGGCTGGGCTCTGGCACAGGAAGCCCTCAGCAAACACCCCCGGCACAGCCATGCCATAGCCAGACAACAGCTCGCTGTACCACACCATCATGGGAGACAGCAGTTATTCTGAGCATCTCACTGCTGAAGAAACCAAGGCTCAGAGAGGACCATGCATGCACAAGGTCCCACAGGGACCCAAGAATCCACCAAGTGTCAGACAACTTGCCCATGCTCTTCACGGAGCACCTTGGAACCCTCCCCGACAGGCACCGCTGGCTCTCCTGACGTGGCCTGCAAGTGCACGGAGCCCCTTCCTCCTCGGCCATTCCCAGTTTAGATTCCCAGGGGAAGCATCAGATGGCCCCTCTCCCCTGCTGGCAGCAGAGCAGACGGAACCAGCCAGAGCCCAGGGCAGTGCTCACCTGCAGGCCAGTCCACTGCGGCCAGCACCGCCCCCTAGAACCTACTGCGGGCATGGCGGCCGCCAGTCCTGGGTCTCCCGGCTCAGGTAGTGCCAGGAAGCTGCGGGCATGGCGGACAGCTGTCCTCGGTCTGGAGGCGCCATCCTGGCTTTCAAATCTGCTCCAGAGGTTATCTGGGGAGGGGCTGCTCCCTCACAGAGGGAGCCTCTAAGCCCACCAGGCGGGCACTTTCAGCCCAAAGCCTCCGGGCCACCTCCTCATCCTCAGCCTCGGGGGCCGGGGCCTTCTGTTTGAGTCCATCGAAGTACTTTCCGGAAACATCCGCCAGTTCCTCCGCCACGGCCAGGTATGTGCTGGGCTGGGCGGCCAGCTCGGGGCTCTTGACCAGCAGCCAGAAGATGGGCCCTGCAATCAGCCCACAGGGCATTTAGTCCACACTCGCTCAGAGAGAAGGAAGGAAGCCCCGCTCCCCGGTCAGGGAGCTCCGGGTCCCTGGAGTCCCACAGAGCCCTCCTCTAGCCCTTTCCCCTTGGCTGCCTCCATCTGCAGTTCCCTTCCCTGGCACTGCCCAGGCAAATCCCACCAGACCAGGGATCAGACCAAAAGCTGCCTCCCCCAAGGAGCCTTCCTGGCTTTGTCCAGGAAAATGGAAGCTCTCTTCCTCTTGGTCAGCCCCAGTCCTCACCCTACCCCATTTCTCCTTTAATAACATCTTATTAAATGCACCTGGCACCAGCCTCAGGTTAAGGATCTTTTTTTGGCCAGGCGAGGTGGCTCAGGCCTGTAATCCCAGCACTTTGGGAGGCCGAGGCGGGCGGATTACCTGGGGTCGGGAGTTCCAGACCAGCCTGGCCAACATGGTGAAACCCCATTTCTACTAAAAATACAAAAATTAACTGGGTGTGGTGGCGGGTGCCTGTAATCCCAGCTGCTCGGGAGGCTGGGGCAGGAGAATCCCTTGAACCTGGGAGGCGGAGGTTGCAGTGAGCTAAGATCACACCATTGCACTCCAGCCTGGGTGACAATAGCAAGACTTCGTCTCAAAAAAAAAAAAAAAAAAGGGCTGGGCGTGGTGACTCACGCCTGTAATCCCAGCACTTTGGGAGGCTGAGGCAGGTGGATCACCTGAGGTCAGGAGTTCAAGACCAGCCTGGCCAACGTGTGAAACCCTGTCTCAACTAAAAATAAAAACTTAGCTGGGTGTGGTGGTGGGCGCCTGCAATCTCAGCTACTTTGGGAGGCTGAGACAGGAGAATCACTTGAACCGAGGAGGCAGAGGTTGGAGTGAGCCAAGATTGTGCCACTGCACTCCAGCCTGGGTGACGAGCAAAACTCCGTCTCAAAAAAAAAAAGACATTTATTTATTTATTTATTGAGACCTGGTGTCTTGCTCTGTCACCCAGGCTGGAGTGCAGTGGTGTGATCTCAGCTCACTGCAACCTCTGCCTCCCGGGTTCAAGCGATTCTCCTGCCTCAGCCTCCTGAGTAGCTGGGACTACAGGTGCACACCACCACACCTGGCTAATTTTTGTATTTTTAGTAGAGACGGGGTTTCACCATGGTGGCCAGGCTGGTCTCGAACTCCTGACCTGAGGTAATCCGCCCACCACAGCCTCCCAAAGTGCTGGGATTACAGGCGTGGCTATTAGCCTCGCCAAGTTAAGATTCTTGATGCCAACCAATCACCCACTCCATGTTTTTCAGGATTATAAACACTAGTCATAAAGCATGAACTGCCTGGGGGTGGTGGCTCACACCTGTAATCCCAGCACTTTGGGAGGCAGTTGGATCACCTGAGGTCAGGAGTTTGAGACTAGCCTGACCAATATGGTGAAACCCCACCTCTAGCTGGGTGTGGTGGTGTGCACCTGTAATCCCAGCTACTTGGAGACAGGAGAATCGCTTGAACCTGGGAGGTGGAAGTTGCAGTGAGTGGAGATCATGCCATTGTACTCCAGCCTGGGCGACAGAGCAAGACTTCATCTCAAAAATAAGTAAGTAAAGCTCCAACTGTTTGTTCCACCTATTCTCTGGGCGGGGTCCTGTGCTGGCCCTTTCAAGGAAGGTCTCGTATAACCCCCCCAGTGACTGTGAGGTGAGTCCTATTAAGGCCTGCACTCTGCAGATGAAGAAACAGGCTCAGAGGGGTAACAGCTCTTCCCCAGGAGGTGCAGCTGGTTTGGGGTGAAGCTGGAGTTACCCTGAGTACAGCCTGACTCCAGGCGTCAGCTCCACGGCCTCTTCCTCTGAGACACGGTTTTCTCATCCGCCAGCAGGGCTCTGCCTGCTTCCCGGGGCTGTTAGAGGCTGGCAGGCCAGGTCAACGGAGGAAAGGGACCTGTGCTCTGTGCCTCAGAAGACGTAGGCGAGGAGCAGGCATGAGGCCTCAGGGACGGTCTCTGAGGGAGGGTCCTGGGCCCTGGGCTGAGAAAGCAGGGGTGGAGGGCTCCACGTGGAGACCCCAGGCTGGGAGGGGACTCACCGAGTGTGGTGCTGGAGAAGGTGGAGCCATGGATGCCCGTGTGTCTGCCCAGCTCTGTCCTGGCCACGCCGGGGTGCAGGGCGTTGACAGTCACACCAGAGCCTGGGGAAGAAAGAAAGAGAAGACTGAGGGAGGGGTCCAGCCTCACCTGGGAGGCTGTGGCAGCCCACACCCAGCTGTGGGGCTTCCGGGCACCAGGCTGCTTCCTGCACTCAAACCCCATCGTCCCTCTTGCTCTGGAATCTTAGTGAAGTGGTCTTATCTTGCGGAGCGGCTCTGCCACATGGCTGCTGGGAGCCGAGCTTTCCTGGAGGGCTTCATAAACCCAGAACGCTGAGCTTACCCCGGGAGCCTGCATCGGTGCGTGGCGGTGGGACCTAAGATACTGTAACTCTGACCAGCTCCCAGTGGGGCTGGCACCGCTGGTCCACAGACCGTCTTTCAGAAGCAAAGGCCTAGCACAGATTTCTCAATCTCAGCACTGTGGATGCTGTGGGTTGGGAGGAGTGAGGGGCCATCCCGTGCGCTGTAGGACATTGAGAGCATCTGGGCCTTTACCCTCCAGATGCCCAGAGCAATCTCTCCCCAAGCCAGCTGTGATCACTGTGTTTCCAGGCATTGACAACTGCGGGTCAAAACTGCCCCTGGTTGAGACTCACTGGCTGGAGCCAAAAGGCTGAGCTGCCTGCCCAACAGCAGCAGGGAAGGACATCTGATCCAGGCAGACTAGACCACCTGGGATGAACAGACAATCCTCAGAAGAACGATCGATTAGTGATGTCTGCTTCAGGCACCAGAAGCGGGCAGCGTGGTCCACATGCTCTACTTTTGCTGACTCTGTTCTGGATCCACCGTTTGGCCTCCCATCAGCCTAGGATCATGGAAAGGCCGCTCTAGGCTCAGAGTAAAGCAAGAGGGAGGCCGAGCCTAGCGCCCCCGTACCTTGCAGCCGCCGGCTCAGCTCCTTGGTGAAGAGGACGATGGCGAGCTTGCTCTGGCAGTAGGCGGCTTTGGTGTTATACTTCCTCGTCTGCCAGTTCAAGTCGTCAAAGTCTATGTGCCCAGCAACATGGGCCAGGGACGAGAGGTTGATGATCCGCGAAGGGGCTGAGGCTTTCAGCTTGTCCAGCAGCAAGTTTGTCAAGAGAAAGTGACCTGGATTAAGGATGATGAAAAGGTCACTTTTGACTCACACCTAAAATCCCAGCACTTTGGGAGGACGACGGGGGAGGATCGCTTGAACCCATGGTGCAGCCCCTGCCCAGGCCTCACCCAGGTGGTTAACGCCAAACTGCATCTCGAAGCCGTCCTCGGTGGTCCAGTGGGGGCACCGCATCACACCCGCGTTGTTGATTAGAATGTCCACTCGCTCCTCCTCTGGAAGAGAGGGGTGGAGGAGGAGACATCCCGGTGAGGACAGACCCCAGCCTGATGCACCAGCAGAAACACTCCTGTGCTCCCACAACCTGTGAATGTGGCCTGTGCCGGAAACAGGGTCTGTGCCGAAGTGGCCATGTCAGGATGCGGTCATTAGGGTGAGCCCTAATC
Source organism: Homo sapiens (assembly GCF_000001405.40). NCBI lineage: Eukaryota > Metazoa > Chordata > Mammalia > Primates > Hominidae > Homo > Homo sapiens. The sequence continues at coordinate 951,717 of NW_003571060.1, forward strand.
CAATGACTGGTGTCCTTATAGGAAGGGAAAACAGAGACAGAGACACATGGGGAGAAGGCCATGTGTGGACAGAGGCAAAGACCGGAGAGGCACAGCTCCAAGGTGAGGGTGGGCCGCCCCCGCTGGAAGTGGAAGAGGCTGGGAGGATTATGGCCCGTCTCACAGGTCACAGCCACAGGGACACCGCGATTCAGACTGCCGGCTTCCGGAACCGTGAGGGAATGCACGTCTGAGGGTGTAAGCCACTGGGTTTGCAGTACATTGTTACAGCAGCTCCAGGACACTCACACGCCCTCCGCACCTCCATCTAAGCCTTGGGACTCCTTCCTGCCGGAGCCCCGAGGCCAAAAACGGGAGGTTACCGGTGGGAGCCCCGGCACCGCAGGCGTGGTTTCATTCCCAAACCTGCCACCTCACTCATACAAGCAACCAAAGGACACACAGATGGAGACTGCAGCCTCAGTTTCCTCAGCTGTAAAATGCGCTGAACCACAGGGCCTTCCTCCCTGTACCACTCAGCTCGGGTTCCGTAACAAAGTGCCACAGACAGGTGGTTTAAAACCTCACAGACCTGGCCGGGCACAGTGGCTCACGCCTGTAATCCCAGCACTTTGGGAGGCCGAGGTGGGCAGATCACCTGAGGTCAGGAGTTTGAGACCAGCCTGGCCAACATGGAGAAACCGCGTCTTTACTAAAAATACAAAATTAGCCAGGCGTGGTGGCATGCACCTGTAATCCCAGCTACTCAGGAGGCTGAGGCGGGAAAATCGCTTGAAACCAGGAGGCAGAGGGTGCAGTGAGCCGAGATCGCATCATTACACTCCATCCTGGGCAATAAAAGCAAAACTCCATCTCAAAAAAAAAAAAAAAAATCACAGTCCCAGAGGCTGGAAGTCCCAGATCAAGGTGTGGGCAGGGCTGGTTCCCTCTCAGGGCCCTCAGGGAGGATCCGCTCTGGTCTCTCTCCTTGGCTCACAGGTGACCATCTCCTCTCTCCCTCTTCCCTTCCTCTTCCCTTTGGAGCTGTCTCTTTTTTTTTTTTCATTTTTCCTTTTTTAATTTTAGATTTTTCAGACATGGTCTCACTATGTTGCCCAGGCTGGTCTCAAACTCTTGAACTCAAGCAATCCTCCTGCTTTGGCCTCCCAGAGTGCTGCAATTTCACTGCCCCCAGCCTATTTTTTTTTTTTTGGGGGGGGGAGATGGAGTTTCACTCTTGTCACCCAGGCTGGAGTGCAATGGTGCGATCTTGGCTCACTGCAACCTCTGCCTCCCAGGTTCAAACAATTCTCCTGCCTCAGCCTCCCAAGTAGCTGGACTACAGGCATCCACCACCACACCGGGTTAATTTTTTGTATCTTTAGTAGAGACGGGGCTTCACCATGTTGGCCAGGCTAGTCTCACACTCCTGACCTCGTGATCCACCTACCTCAGCCTCCCAAAGTGCTGGGACTGCAGGCGTGAGCCACCACACTCAGTCTACTTGGCCTATTTTTTATATTTCTTTGAGACAGGGTCTCCCTCTGACACCTGGGCTGGAGTACAGTGGCGCAATCACTGCTCACTGCAGCCTCAACCTCCCAGGCTCAAGCAGTCTTCTTGCTCAGCCTCCCAAGTAGCTGGGGCCACAGGCATGCGCCACCATGCCCAGCTAGCACGTCTGTTTCTGTGCGCAAATCTCCCCTTTTCATAAGGACACCAGTCACTGGATTAGGGCCCACCCTAATGACCTCATTTTCACTTCAGGACCTCTGTAAACACCCACCTCTAAATGAAGTCACATGCTGAGGGATGGGGGTTCAGGATCCCAACCTATCCTTGGGGGTGGAGGACACAATGGAATTCATAATGCTCCCGAAGTGGTTTTCGGCGGGGATCGTGAATTAGGTGTCCAGCGCGTAACACACAGACACCATCTGGTTCTCTGTGTGAGAAGGAGGGGGTTGCAGCACACCCGTCATGAATACCAGCTCTGGAGCAGGACAGACAGGTTCAAAGCCTGGCTCCACCCCGACCAGCTGCATGATCCTGGCCAAGTCACATCACTTCTCTGTGACTCAGTTTACTCCTTGTAAAAAAAAAAAAAAAAAAAGGATAATAACATCACCTGCCTGGTACAACTGTATACTTACTCATTCAGTAAGTATTTTCTAAGCACCTATTACTGGGCACTGGAAATACAGGGTGGACAGCACAGCCGAGGCCCCGTCCGTGTGGACCGGACATTCCAGTGCAGCTGAGAGCCACTTCCACTCGTGAGAGAATCTACCCGTGACAGAGCTGCGTGGAAGCTGACAGGAGGCCCCTCTCAGGAGGTGACGCAGAAACTGGGACCGGGAAAATGAGGCAGGGCCCACGTGCGGAGACCCAGGGAAGGGGGATGCAGGCAGCAGGCGCAGCACGGGTAAGGCCCAAAGGCGGGACAGGGAGACTCCACTCACAGCTGGGCGCCCAGGAGTGCCGCCAGCTTCTGGTGTTTTGTTTTGGTTTTTTTTCTTTTTTTTTTTGAGATGAAGTCTCACTCTGCCACCCAGGCTGGAGTGCAGTGGTGTGATCTTGGCCCATGGCCCACTGCAACCTCTACCGCCTGGGTTCAGGCGATTCTGCTGCCTCAGCCTCCCGAGTACTGGGATTACAGGTGCCCGCCACCGCACCCTGCTAATTTTTGCATTTTTAGTAGAGACGGGGTTTCACCATCTTGGTCAGGCTGGTCTTGAATTCTTCACCTCGTGATCCACCCGCCTCTGCCTCCCAAAGTGCAGGGATTACAGGTGTGAGCCACCGCGCCCAGCCTGTTTTTTTTTTTTTCTTTTTATGAGAGGGAAGCTCACTCAGTGGCCCAGGCTGGAGTGCAGTGGCGCGATCTCAGCTCACAGCAACCTCCGCCGCCAGGGCTCAAACGATCCTCCCACCTCAGCCTTCCACATAGCTGAACCACAGGCGCCCGACACCACAAGCAGCTACTTTTAAAATTTTTTGTAGAAATGGGGTTTGGCTATGTTGCTTAGGCTGGTCTCGAATTTCTGAGCTTAGGCAATTCGCCCACCTCGGCCTCCCAAAGTGCTGGGATTGCAGGCGTGGGCCACAGTGCCTGGCCTGTTGTTTTGTTTATCTGGGAACTGCCTCAACTTTTTTTTTTTTTTTTTTTTTTTGGACACAGGGTCTCACCCCGAGTGCAGTGGTACAATCAAAGCTCACTGCAGGCCGGGCGTGGTGGCTCACATCTGTAATCCCAGCACTTTGGGAGGCCGAGGCGGGCAGATCACCTGAGGTCAACCAGCCTGACCAACATGGTGAAACCCTGTCTCTACCTAAAACAAAAAAGTAGCCGGGCATGGTGGCAGGTGCCTGTAATCCCAGCTACTCAGGAGGCTGAGGCAGGAGAATTATTTGAAACCAGGAGATGGAGGTTGCAGCCTGACCAACAGGAAGAAACCCCGTCTCTACTAAAAATACAAAATTAGCCGGGCGTGGTGGCGCATGCCTGTAATCCCAGCTACTCGGGAGGCTGAGGCAGGAGAATCACTTGAACCCAGGAGGTGGAGGATGCCGTGAGCCAAGATCCCGTCATTGCACCAGCCTGGGCAACAAGAGCAAAACTCCGTCTTAAAAAAAAAAAAAAAAAATCCCTCACTGCAGCCTCAACCTCCCAGGCTCAAGCAATCCTCCCACCTCCACCTCCCAAGTAGTTGGGACTACAAGTGCACACCATCACGCCTGCCTCATTGTTTTTTATTTTTTTTTTGAGATGGAGTCTCACTCTGTCACCCAGGCTGGAGTGCAGTGGCGCCATCTCGGCTCACTGCAAGCTCCACCTCCCGGGTTCACGCCATTCTCCTGCCTCAGCCTCCCAAGTAGCTGGGTTACAGGTGCCCGCCACCACGCCCGGCTAATTTTTTTGTGTTTCTTAGTAGACACGGGGTTTCACCGTGTTGGCCAGGATGGTCTCGATCTCCTGACCTTGTGATCCGCCCGCCTCAGCCTCCCAAAGTGCTGGGATTACAGGCGTGAGCCTGCACGCCTGCCTGATTGTTTTGTATTTTTTGTAGAGATGAGGTCTTGCTATGTTGCCCAGGCTGATCTCAAACTCCCTGATAAACAAGGCTGTGGGTACCTGCTTCCTGGGGCTCTTTGCTTTGTGTTCTTTCTAGTCGGGAGCTGGGAAGAGCCACAGCTTCCAGCTTTGTCAGAGTGTCATCTCACAAACTGATCTTCCCAAAACTTCTGTCTCCCAAAGTGCCGGGATGACAGGCGTGAACCGCTGCACCTGGCCTGCCCCAGTGTGGTAGAATACACACCACATAAAATGGACGATCTTCACTATTTTTAAATCCACTGCTGTCTTTATTCCTGGCTGTTGATCTTAGGAAAACACCAAGAAGCTGGTACTTGATTTGCTAAAAAAGTCACAGACACAGCTTTACTTAATCCTCTAGAGAGGCTGGGCGTGGTGGCTCATGCCTGTAATCCCAGCACTTTGGGAGGCCGAGGTGGCTGGATCATGAGGTCAGGAGATCGAGACCATCCTGGCTAACACGGTGAAACCCCGTCTCTAGTAAAAAATATAAAAAATTAGCCGGGCGTGGTGGCAGGCGCCTGTAGTCCCCCGCCACTCGGGAGGCTGAGGCAGGAGAATGGCATGAACCCGGGAGGCGGAGCTTGGAGTGAGCCGAGATGTGCCACTGTCCTCCAGCCTGGGCGACAAAGCAAGATACCGTCTCAGAAAAAAAAAAAAACCCCTCTAGAGAATCCCAGAAAATAGAAGGAATTATTCCATTTCCCGGAAGAGGAACGTGTGGCTAAGAGAGGAGGCATCACCTGCCCAGGTGTGTCCAGCCGGGGTCCTCACTGTCTCAGGGACCTCAGTGCTCCGGACACCTGTGTCCACAAGCCAGAGACAGGATCAGAGGCGCCCTGGGTGGGATTGCCTGGGACAGTGTGCATGAAGGTGACAGTGCTGTACCTGGTACACAGCAGGTGCTTAATAAATGTTCATCCACCTCTGAGACTCTGAGGCATTGCCCTCTCACTGTTCTTTGTGATCTCACCGTAGTGCCTCTCACCTACCCGACAACAGTGCCGGCTCTTTCTTGATCCCCAAGGGCACAGCAGGGGCTCAGTATGAATGAATGAATGAACCAACGAATGTGCACCTGCACCTGCCTCCCTAGGGCTGTGAGTGGCACAAGGACAGCTCTGGTTCATCTCACACCTCCAGCACCTGGTCAGGTCTGAGATCACGTCTGCTAAATAAATGAGGTCCCACAACTCCCCCATTCCTTGTTCATTTCCTGAGTACCCGTTTACTGAGCGGGGCACATTGACTCTGAAGAAGAAAGCTTTGGCCCTTTCAGTGCCAGACTAGAAAAGAAACAAAGCAGCTGGGCATGGTGGCTCATGCCTGTAATCCCAGCACTTTGGGAGGCTGAGGCAGGCGGATCACAAGGTCAGGAATTCGAGACCAGCCTGGCCAACATAGTGAAACCCCGTCTCTACTAAAAATACAAAAATTAGCCGGGCATGGTGGCACCCGCCTATAGTCTTGGGAGGCTGAGGCAGGAGAATCGCTTGAACCCAGGAGGCGGAGGCTGCAGTGAGCCAAGATCGCATCATTGCACTCCAGCCTGGGTGACAGAGCAAGACTCCATCTCAAAAAAAAGGTCTTGCTCTGTCATCCAGGTTAGAGTGCAGTGGCACAAATACGGCTCACTGCAGCCTTGAACTCTCGGGCTCAAGTGATCCTCTTGCCTCAGCCTCCTGAGTAGCTGGGACTGTAGGCACATGCCAGGATGCCCGGCTAATTTTTTTTTTTTTTTAATCTTTGGTACACACAAGGTCTCACTATGCTTCCTAGGCTGGTCTCTAACTCCTGAGCTCAAGCAATCCTAAGAGAAGAGATTTTAAATGTGGTCACCACAAAAACAGGTAAGTATTTGAGGTAATGCATATGTTAATTAGCTTGATTTAGCCATTCTACAATGTATACAATGTACATCATGCTGTACATAATATATACAAGTATACATGTCAACTAAACAATAAATAATTTTAGTGTATTCTTGAGTCTATTTAAAGATGAACAAGAATAGAAAAGCTAGAGGATGGTCCCAGTTTTACATAAAAATATATAAATACACACACAAACCTATTATAAACAAGACTAGAAAGATCCATAAAAGTGATTCTCCTGGGGCTGGTGCAGATCAAAGTTGTTTAGTTCTGTCTTCTTTTTTATTGAGACAGAGTCTCACTCTGTCACCCAGGCTGGAGTGCACTGGCACAATCTCAGCTCACTGCAACCTCCGCCTCCTGGGTTCAAGCAATTCTCCTGCCTCAGCACCCTGAGTAGCTGAGATTACAGGTGTGCACCACCACGCCTGGCTAATTTTTGTATTTTTAGTAGAGACAGGGTTTCACCATGTTGGCCAGGCTGGTCTCGAACTCCTGACCTCAAGGGATCCACCTGCCTCAGCCTCCCAAAGTGCTGGGATTAACAGGCGTGAGCCACTGTGCCCAGCCAGTTCTGTCTTCTTTACATTGCAGTATTTTATAAATGTCCCATAACAAACACATATTTCTTTAACCATGGTGGGGAAGGCACTTGATCAATAAATGCTTAATAAGGTCAGGTGCGGTGGCTCACGCCTGTAATCCCAGCACTGTGGGAAGCTGACCTGGGTGGATCACTTGAGCCCAGGAGTTGGAGACCAGCCTGAGCAACATGGTGAAACCCCAGCTCTAAAAACAAAACAAAACAATAAAACAATAATTAGCTGTGTGTGGTGGCGTATGCCTGTACTCCCAGCTACTTGGGAGGCTGAAGTGGGAGGATCCCTTGAGCCCAGCAGGTTGAGACTGCAGTGAGCCATGACTGCACCACTGCACTCTAGCCTGGGTGACAGAGATGGATCCTGTCTCAAACAAACTAATTATTCAGGTAGGGCACGGTGGCTCACACCTGTAATCCCAGCACTTTGGGAGGCCAAGGGAAGCAGATCACCTGAGGTCAGGAGTTCGAGACCAGCCTGACCAACATGGTGAAACCCTGTCTCTACCTAAAACACAAAAAATTAGCCAGGCACGGTGGCGGGTGCCTGTAATCCCAGCTACTCAGGAGGCTGAAGCAGGAGAATCATTTGAAATCGGGAGACGGAGGTTGCAGTGAGGCAAGATCACACCACTGCACTCCAGCCTGGGCAACAGAGCGAGACCCCATCTGTCTCAAAACAAACAAACAAAACAAAGTCAGCCGGGCGCAGTGGCCCACGCCTGTAATCCCAGCACTCTGGGAGGCTGAGGCAGGAGAATCACCTGAGGTCAGGAGTTCCAGACCAGCCTGGCCAACGTGGTGAAACCCCGTCTCTACTAAAAATACAAAAATTAGCAGGGTATGGTAGCAGGCATCTTAATCCCAGCTACTCAGGAGGCTGAGGTCCGCGCTTGAACCCAGGAGGCAGAGGTTACAGTGAGCCGAGATCGCGCCATTGCACTCAGCCTGGCCGACAGAGTGAGACTCCCTCTCAAAATAACAGTAGTAATAAATAAATAAAGTCGTTGCTTGCAGGCTGTACAAAAAAAGGCAGCAACTGGACTTGGCCCCTAACTCATAGTTTGCCAAAACTCTGCTCTAAAGTTTGCTTGCTTCATTCACTTCTCAGAGCCTGGCCCTGGGAGCCGCCTATCCCAGTCCTCATCCCACATGGCCAGCGTTCTCCTACCTTCAATGATCTTTGCTGCAAACTCTCGGATAGACTTGAGGGAAGCCAAGTCCAGGTGCCGGGCGTTGACATGGTGATTGAGGGTCTCCCCGCGGATGTCCTTTGCTGCCGCCTCACACTTCTCCATGTCTCGGCAGGCCAGGATGATGTTGCCTCCTGAAAACCCAGGATGGAAAAAGATTTAAATTAATAATCCACTCCTGGGTACTGACCCCAGAGACATGAAAACATACGTCTACACAAAAACACATCCACCAATGTTCACTGCGGCATTCTTCACAAAAGCCAAAAGGTAGAAACAACCAAATGCCCATCTGTGGATGAAGGGACAACAAAATGTGGTCCATCCATAGAGATGGAATATTAGACGGCCGTGAAAAGGAGTGAAGCACTGGCTCATGCTACAGCAAGGATGACCGTCAGAAACACTGTGCTCGGGGAAAGAAACCAGACACGAAAGACCACACAGCGTACAATCCCATTTACATGAATTCTATGTATATGATTTCACACCTATGAAACGCCCAGAATAGGCAAATCCATAGAGAAAGAAAATAGATTCTTGGTTTTCTAGGGCAGGGGGTGGGGAGAGGGAATTACAGCTTGATAGTTACAGTGAGCAGGTTTCTTTCTAGGGTAACAGATGTTCTAAGATTGATTTTAAAGATGGTTGCATCATTCTGTGACTATACTAAACATCACTGAATTGGTCGGGCACGGTGGCTCACACCTGTAATTCCAGCACTTTGGGAGGCCAAGGCAAGAGGATTCCCCATCCTCTCCTTTTTTTTTTTTTTTTAGATGGAGTCTCACTCTGTCACCCAGGCTGGAGTGCGGTGGCGCAATCTCGGCTCACTGCAACCTCCACCTCCTGGGTTCAAGCAATTCTCCTGCCTCAGCCTCCCGAGTAGCTGGGATTACAGGCACCTACCACAACTAGCTAATTTTTTATTTTTTTATTTTTAGTAGAGACAGCGGTTTCACCATGTTAGCCAAGCTAGTCTTGAACTTCTGACCTCAGGTGATCCACCCCGCGGCCTCCCAAAGTACTGGGATTACAAATAAGCCACAATGCCCAGCCTCCAATTTTTTTTGTTGTGGTAAAATACAAATCACTTAAAATTTATCATCTTAACCCCCTTTTCTTTTTGTTTATTATTATTTTTTTTTTTTTGAGTCAGTCTCACTCTGCTGCCGCGGCTGGAGTGCTGGCGCCATCACAGCTCATTCAGCCTTGAACTCCTAGGCTCAAGTGACCTGGGACTATAGGTACCACCTGTGCCAGCATGCCTGGCTAACTCTGGTAGAGATGGGGGTGTTGCTATGGTGTCCAGGCTGGTCTGGAACCCCTGGCCTCAAGTGATCCTCCTGCCTCAGCCTCCAAAAGTGCTGGAATTATAGATGTGAGCCACCGAGACCCGCCCTCTTAGCCATTTTTAAGTGTCCAGTTCATTGGTATTAAAAACATTTATGGCTGGGCCGGGCATGGTGGCTCACACCTGTAATCCCAGCACTTTGGGAGACCAAGGCAGGTGGATCACCTGAGGTCAGGAGTTCAAGACCAGCCTGGCCAACACATTACAAACTTAGCTGGGTGTGGTGTTGCATGCCTGTAATCCCAGCTACTCGGGTGGCTGAGGCAGGAGAATTGCTTGAACCCGGGAGGCGAAGGTTGCAGTGAGCCAAGATCATGCCACTGCACTCCAGCCTGGGCGACAAGAGCAAAACTCCATCTCAAAAAAAAAAAAACAATAATAATAATTCCTAATGTTGTGCAACCATTACAACCATCCATCTCTCAAATTGTTTCATCTTGCCAAACTAAACTTCCGTTTCCATTAAACAGTAACTCCCCATTCTCCCCTCCCCTCCTGACCCCTGGCAAGCACCATTCCAACTTCTCTATGAATTTAACTGTAGGTAGCTCCTGTAAGTGGAATCATACCGTATTTGCTCTTCTGTCGACTGGCTTATTTCACTTCATGGAATGTCCTCAAGGTTCATCTGTTTCAATGCCCTTTTTTTTGTTTTGCTTTGTTTTGTTTTGTTTTTGAGTCTCACTCTGTCACCCAGGCTGGAGTGCCGTGGCGCCATCTCTGCTCACTGCAACCCCTGCCTCTCAGGTTCAAGCGATTCTCCTGCTTCAGCCTCCCAAGCAGCTGGGACTACAGGTGCCCACCACAACTCCTGGCTAATTTTTGTATTTTTAGTAGAGAGGGGGTTTCACCATGTTGGTTAGGCTGGTCTCGAACTCCTGACCTCGTGATCCGCCAGCTTTGGCCTCCCAAAGTACTGATTACAGGCGTGCACCACCGCGCCCGGCCAGAATGCCCTTCCTTTTTAAGGCTGAATCATATGCCCCTGTCTATAGAAGCCACATTCTGTTTCCCTGTTCATCTGTGGATGGGTGCCTGGGTTCCTTCCACCTCCGGACTGTGAATAATGCTGCAGTGAGCATGGATGTACAGATATCTCTCTGAGAGCCAAAGCAGGGGAGATTTTACCTCTCCTGGCCAGTTCCAAGGCGGTCTGCTTCCCGATGCCTGTGTTGGCACCCGTCACGATGACCGTCTTCCCAGGGATGGTGGCCTTGCTGGGGCAAGCCCCACCGGTGACATAGTCCCTGAGGGTGAGAAGCGGCACGGTCAGTCCTGTGGGCCCACTCTCACCCCACGTGCCCCTGACTGAATGATCTCAGGCAACCTTGTCTGAGCTCACTCACATACCCCAACTGAAACACAGACATCATCACATCACACCAAGGGACCTCTGTCATGTTCTCCATAAGTGGCTCCACCCAGTGTCTGGCGTGTGGAACGCCTTCAGCAAGTGACAGTCATTATTTTATAAATGCTCACTGCATGAGATTCCCGGCCAGGTGAGGGGGCTTGCACCTGTAATCCCAGCACTTTGGGAGGCCAAAGTTTTGGGGGTGGGGGGGGGCGGGGGCGGATCACTTGAGGTCAGGAGTTCGAGTCCAGCCTGGCAAACATGGCGAGACCCCGTCTCTACTTAAAATACAAAAATTAGCCAGATGTGTAGGGAAAAGAGAGATTAGACTGTTACTGTGTCTATATAGAAAGGAAAGACATAAGAGACTCCATTTTGAAAAAGACCTGTACTTTGAACAATTGCTTTGCTGAGATGTTGTTAATTTGTAGCTTTGACCCAGCCACTTTGACCCAATCTGGAGCTCACAAAAACCTGTGTTGTATGAAATCAAGGTTTAAGGGATCTAGGGCTGTGCAGGAAGTGCCTTGTTAACACAATGTTTCCAAGCAGTATACTTGGTAAAAGTCATCGCCAGTCTCTAGTCTCAATAAACCAGGGGCACGATGCACTGCAGAAAGCTGCAGGGACCTCTGCCCTTGAACACAGAGTATTGTCCAAGGTTTCTCCCCGTGGGATAGTCTGAAATATGGCCTCGTGGGATGAGAAAGACCTGACCGTCCCCCAGCCCAACACCCGTAAAGGGTCTGTGCTGAGGTGGATTGGTAAAAGAGGAAAGCCTCTTGCAGTTGAGAGAGAGGAAGGCCACTGTCTCCTGCCTGACCCTGGGAACTGAATGTCTCGGTATAAAACCTGATTGTACATTTGTTCAATTCTGAGACAGGAGAAAAGCCGCCCTATGGCGGGAGGCGAGACATGTTTACAGCAATGCTGCCTTGTTATTCTTTACTCCGCTGAGATGTTTGGGTGGAGAGAAACATCAATCTGGCCTACGTGCACGTCCAGGCATAGTACCTTCCCTTGAACTTAATTATGTCATAGATTCTTTTGCTCACATGGTTTTTGCTGACCTCATTATCACCCTGCTCTCCTACTACATTCCTTTTTGCTGAAATAATGAAGATAATAATCAGTAAAAACTGAGGGAACTCAGAGGCCGGTGCCGGTGCAGGTCCTTGGTATGCTGAGCGCCGGTCCCCTGGGCCCACTGTTGTTTCTCTATACTTTGTGTCTTATTTCTTTTCTCAGTCTCTCGTCCCACCCAACTAGAAATACCCACAGGTGTGGAGGGGCAGGCCACCCCTTCACAGGCGTGGTGGTGCACACCTGTAATCTCAGCTACTCAGGGGGCTGAGGCACGAGAATTGCTTGAACCTGGAAGGCGGAGGTTGCAGTGAGTCGAAATGGTGCCAGCCTGGGCAACAGAGCGAGACTCTGTCTCAAAAAAATTTAAATTTAAATTTAAAATGCCCGCTGCACGAGATTCCCAAGGCTGCTGTACGCATTACCACAGACTTAGTGGCTTAAAACCACATAAGTGCATCCTCCTCCAGTTCGGCAGGTCAAGAGTCCAAAACATGTCTCACTGGAATAAATCAAGGTATTGGTAGAGTCAGGTTCCTTCTGGAGGCTCTAGGGAAGAATCCACTTCCAGCTCCTACAGACCGCCACATTCCTCCACTCTTGGCCCCGCCTCCATCTTCAACCTGCATCCTCACTGGAACCTCTCCTTTATTTATTTATTTATTTACTTATTTATTTTTGAGACAGAGTCTCGCTCTGTCGCCCAGGCTGGAGTGCAGTGGCTCAATCTCAGCTCACTGTAACCTTCGCCTCACAGGTTCAAGCGATTCTCCTGCCTTAGCCTCCTGAGTGGCTGGGATTACAGGCACATGCCACCACACCTGGCTAATTTCTTTTGTATTTTTAGTAGAGACAGAGTTTTACCACGTTGGTCAGGCTGGTCTCGAACTCCTGACCTTGTGATCCGCCTGCCTTGGCCTCCCAAAGTGCTGCGATTACAGGCGTGAGCCACCACACCCAACAACCTCTCCTTCTATCTTCCATCTCCCCTCTGACTGAGCCTCCTGCTCCCTCTTATAAGGACCCTATAAGACTACAAGGCAGGACCGGCACAGTGCCTCACACCTGTAATCCCAGCACTTTGGGAGGCCAAGACAGGAGGATCACTTGAGGTCAGGAGTTCGAGACCAGCCATGGCCAACATGCTGACACCCCATCTCTACTAAAAATACAAAAATTAGCAGGGCTTGGTGGTGCACGCCTGTAGAGTCAGCTACTCGGGAGGCTGAAGTGGGAGGACCACCTGAGCCCAGGGAGGGTGAGGCTGCAGTGAGCTGTGACAGCATGACTGCACTCCAGCCTGGGTGACAGAGAGACCCTGTCTCCAAAAAAAAAAAAAGACTACATGATAATCATAAGATCCTTCACTTGGCCGGGCACGGTGGCTCACGCCTGTAACCCCAGCACTTTGGGAGGCCAAGGTGGCCAGATCCCCTTTGGTCGGGAGCTCAAGACCAGCCTGACCAACATGGAGAAACCTCGTCTCTACTAAAAATACAAAATTAGACAGGCGTGGTGGCACATGCCTGTAATCCCAGCTACTCAGGAGGCTGAGGCCGGACAATCGCTTGAACCCGGGAGGTGGAGGTTGTGGTGAGCCGAGGTCGTGCCATTGCACTCCAGCCTGGGCAACAACAGCGAAACTCTGTCTCAAAAAAAAAAAAGATGCTTCACTTAACACATCAGCGAGAACCTCTGACACGTGAGGTAATGTCGTCACACCTTCCGAGGATTAGGACGTGGACCCCTCTACGGAGTCACGACTCTGCCCACCACACCCATGTCCCACAGAGGCTAACGCTGGCAACAAGATAGTGTCCAGCAACAGGAGGCTGAGCAGGTAAACAGCACTGCACCCACAGGAGAGAAGGGCACCATGCAATACAGTGGCCACCAGCCACAGAGGCTAATTTTTAAGAAAGTTTAAATTAAGTAGGCTGGGCGAGGTGGCTCACGTCTGTAATCCCAGCACTTTGGAGGCCGAGGCAGGCGGATCACCTGAGGGCAGGTGTTTGAGACCAGCCTGGCCAACATGGCAAAACCCCGTCTCTGCGAAAAATACAAAAATTAGCCGGGCGTGGTGGCGCACGTGTGATCTCAGCTCCTGGGGACGCCAAGGTGGGAGGATCACCTGAGCCCAGGAGGTCAAGGCTGCAGTGAGCCAAGATCGCGCCACTGCACTCCAGCCTGGGCGACAGAGCCAGATTCTGCCTTTAAAAATAAACGAACAAATAAATAATACAAAACAACAAAATAAAGAGTTTAAAAGTCTGGAAGGAAAGCAACATTTACAAGGGCCCAGGCTCGCCCTTCCCTCCGAGTGACCTTGGGCCGGTGACCTGGCCGGCCAGAGCGCAGGTTTGCCCCACTCCGGGCGGGCACTGCGGGTCGGGAGCTACGGGGCCTGGACCCGGGTGCGAGGGGCGGGGGTCTCCGCCGCCTTCCCGGCCCCTGCGCTGGGGGCCCGCCTTGACCGCGCACGCGGGGCTAGAATGTACTCACTTGAGCAGCACGGCGGCGCCTGCTACCGTGCCCAGCGCCGACAGCGGCAGCAGGTAGCGGCTCATGCCGGGCCGGGGACAGGCGTCAGGCGTCAGGGGTCGGCGCGGAGCTTGCTGCACACCAGCCGCCTGGGTAGCTCCGAGGAAGAGCGCGCGACGCAGCCACAGGCGAGCGGAGGCGCAGGCGCGGCTGGGCCCGCGTCCGGAACTGGGCTGCGAGGGGCGGGGCGCGGGCGGAGGGGGCGGGGATCCTAGGGACGGGACCTATGAGCATCGGTCCTGAGCGCTGTCACAGCTGGGATTGGTGGTTTCAGGAGCCTGTGGGCGTGGCTAGTCCGGGGGCGGGGCCTATGGTTTGTTCGAATGACGTCACACTTGCCGCAGCGTATAAGGCGCTACGCAGTTCTGGAGTGAAATAGGTTCGAATCCCACCACTGTCAATTCCAGACTGTGACCCTCTGTGTGTCTTTCAACTATATCAGCCTATTCCCTCATCTGGAAATGTGTGTTTACCTTCTTCATAGACTTTTGGAGATAATTTGAGAATTTCCATGCACAGAAACAAGGATCTAGTAGCCTGTGGGTACCCAAGCTCCTGGGGTCCTGCAGGAGAAGGCGGCTGGGGGCCTGGACTCCTGGGTCTGAGGGAGGAGGGGCTGGGGGCCTGGACTCCTGGGTCCAAGGGAGGAGGGGCTGGGAGCATGGACTTCTGGGTCCGAGGGAGGAGGGCCGGGTGCCTGGACTGCTGAGTCTGAGGGAGGAGGGGCTGGGGGCCTGATTCATTCCCAAATTATCAGAATCTCATCCCCATGTCTGGCCCTGCACAGAGATATCTTCCCTGAACTCTGCCTGAACTACCTTTCTTAGATTGAGTATTGCACACACTCCTGCACTTACCTGTCCATGTTTGTCACCCCCACCAAACCGGGATGCACCTCTGGGCACCTGCTTCCCCTTGCACTGCTCACAGCGAGTGTATCTGATCACCACCTCCTACCCCTGACTGTGCCTGAGGTGCCAGGAGCAGACACCGCTGGAAACAGGGAAGAATTCAACCCAATCTAACTAGGAGTAAGTTTTCTTCCTCATCAGATGAACTGTCATCTTCTTATATGAGCCCTGCCATAATGGAGATTATACAGGCAGGAAGAGCTATTTTAAGACCTTAGTCAATGGCCGGGCACGGTGGCTCACGCCTGTAATCCCAGCACTTTGGGAGGCCGAGACAGATGGATCACGAGGTCAGGAGATTGATACCAGCCTGGCCAACATGGTGAAACCCTGTCTCTACTAAAAATACAAAAATTAGCTGGATGTGGTGGCACTCACCTGTAGTCCCAGCTACTCAGGAGGCCGAAGCAGGAGCATCACTTGAACTCGGGAGGTGGAGGTTGCAGTGAGCCGAGATTGCCCTACTGCATTCCAGCCTGGCGACAGAGTGAAATTCTGTCAAAAAAAAAAAAACCTTAGGCCTGTAGACCTTAAGCTCTCACCATCTCAAACGTATTAAACCAGTTACACAATGCCAAATGCTGTATAAGAGGCACTTGGAGGAGTCAAATTCATAGAGACAGAAAACAGAGTGGTGGCTGCAGGGGGCTGGAGATGAGATTGGGAAGTCACAGGATTTGTTTTTGTTTGTTTGTTTGTTTTGTTTTGTTTTTTGAGAGACAGTCTCACTGTGTCACCCAGGCTGGAGAGCAGTGGGCGATCTCAGCTCACTGCAACCTCTGCCTCCTAGGTTCAAGCGATTCTCCTGCCTCAGCCTCCCGAGTAGCTGGGGCTACAGGCACGTGTCACCACACCCGGCTAATTTTTGTATTTTTAGTAGAGACGGGGTTTCACCATGTTGGCCAGGTTGGTCTCAAACTCCTGACCTCAGGTGATCCACCTGCCTCGGCCACCCAAAGTGCTGGGATTACAGGCATGAGCCACCGCACCCGGCCGGGAAGCTGTTTTTTAATAGATACAGAGTTTGTTTTGCAAAATAAAAAAAAGACCTGAAGGTGGACGGTGGTGATGGTTGCACAACAATGTGAATATACTTAACATCACTGAATTGTACACTTAAAATGGTTAAGATGGTACATTTTACTTTATGCATAGTTTACCAAACTAAAAATAAAGAAAAATTTTAGACTGGGCATGGTGGCTCATGCCTGTAATCCCAGCACTTTGGGAGGCCAAAGTGGAGAATAGTATGAGCCCAGGAGTTTGAGAGCGGCCTGGACAACACGGCAAAACCTTATCTCTACAAAAAATACAAAAATTAGCAGGTTTGGTGGCACGCATCTGCACCCTCAGCTACTTGGGAGGCTGAGGTGGGAGGTCTGCTTGAGCCCAGGAGGTCAAGGCTATGATGAGCTGTGATTGTGCCACTGCACCCCAGGCTGGGTGACAGAGCAAGACCCCATCTCAAAAATAATAATAATAAATGTTTACATTTAATAACATGGGCAATTGGTTCAGATGTTCATTTTCTCAACCTTGAAAAAAAAACAACACTGTTTTTCCCTGTCTTTTTCTCCTTTTCTGTAAACTGAAATCCTAATATCATTGACTTCCAGGACAGAGATCAGCAAACTTTTTCTACAAACAGCCAGATAGTAAATAATTTCAGCTTTGTGATCCACACAGTGGCTGTTGCACCTCCTCTGCCAGAGGAGCTGGGAAGCAGCCACAGATGATGTGAAAACAAGTGAGCACAGCTGTGTTCCCATAAAACTTTATTTATAAAAATAAGCAGTGCGCCACAGTTCGCCAGCTCCTGTTTGAGAGTCTCTCTCCGATGCCCAGGCTGGAGCGCAGTGATGCAATCTCAGCTCACTGCAACCTCTGCCTCCTGGGTTCAAGCGATTCTCCTGCCTCAGCCTCATGAGTAGCTGGGATTACAGGCGCTCGCCGCCACACCTGGCTGATTTTTGTATTTTTAGTAGAGACGGGGTTTCACCATGTTGGCCAGGCTGGTTTTGAACTCCAGGCTTCAGGTGATCCACCTGCCTCAGCCTCCCAAAGTGCTGGGATTACAAAGCGTGAGCCACTGCGCCCAGCTACCTGTCATTGAATTTGGAAGGATGGCATGAAGTCATTCATAACAAGGACTTAATCCATAGTAAGTGCCAGAACATTGCTGGCTGTTAATATGGTTATTATAAAGAGAACAATGCATGCATATTCCTCCTCTGAGGATCTCCTACCTGATTCCCAGACACACCCAAGGGAGTTAGAACATCTGTTTGGACTCCAGGTGGGCTGTCCACGCCTTTACCATTTTCCTGGTTGTTAACATGTTCCTGATCAGCACTGGGTGCTGTCCCAGGTGCTGAGAGGATTCTCCCACAATGCCCTTTGCTTTCCCCATCAGAGGGTTTATGGCACCCAATTCTCATTCACATTCTGTCTCTCCTTTCTCGTTCTTCTCTATCTCTCCTCTCTCTGTCTCCTTTTCTCTTCCTCTCTCCCTCTCTGTCTTCTCTCCCTCTCTCTCCCTCTCTCTTCCTCTCTCTCTTCCTCTGTCCTCTTTTCTCTCTCTCTCTCCCTCTCTCTCACATCTCTCTTTCCCTTCCTTTCTCTTTCCTCTCTCTTCCTCTCTCCCTCTCCCTCCTTCTGTCTTCCTCTATCCCTCTCTTCCTCTTTTTTCTTCCTCTCTTCTTGTCTCTTTCTCTCCTCTCTCTCTCCCTCTTTCTCTTTCTCTCTCTCTTCCTCTCCCTTCCTCTTCCTCTCTCTCCTTCTTTCTTCCTCTCTCTCTTCTTGTGTGTGTCTCTCTCTCTCTGTTCTCTCTCTCCCTCTCCCCCCAACTCTCTTTCCCTACACACATCTTAAGAGGCCTCAGCAGTGTAAGGTAAGTTTAGCGACCCTGTGGCTGTGTAGAGATAAGCAAAGGGGGGCAAGGAGCTCCAGTGGTCCCAGACTCCAGCCATTTGAGTCTTTGCAGCCCAAGCACTGCCCCAGCTTCTTGACAGCCCCAGCCATCACCAAAGGGCACACAGATAAGCTGCCTCCACCAAGGCCTGTGCAGATGGTAGGTTTTTGAGTAAAATAGATATGATCCTTGTCTGAAGCCACTGAGTTTTAGAATAATTTGTTATATGGCCATAGTAACTGGAATGATTGCTGTAGGTTTATTTTATTTTATTCATCCTTGCTGCATGCAACACATGCATGGCTCAGTAACTAGAAGGAAAGAAGAGAAGAAGGGAGGGAGAGGCAGAGGGTGGACAGGAGAGGATGGTAGGAAGGAAAGACAGGAAAGGAGGGTGTTGGTGGCCTTGCCTGCAAGCTGAGCAGACACCACGCAAACAGGTGACCTCCCAGTTAAGATGGAGGGGACTCAGGGCTCAGGAGGGGCAGAAGGTCCCCGTGTCGGAGAGCTGGGCAAGCTTTCTGCAGGAAATGATGGGGATCACGGCCATGTGAGCCGGCAAGATTTCCCTCAGCCAGGGAGGAGACTCCGGGCTGTGGGAACAGCTTAAGCAGAAGGCATGGGACAGGAATGCATATGAGAGATATTGTGGGAGGAGGGAGGGCTGCCTGGGCTGGCATGCAGGGTATGGGAGGGGGTGGAAGGGCTGAGGCGGGAGCCATCAGTAAAAGGACCCAGAGCGCGGCTCCAATGCCATGGTAGGAAGCTTGGCGTTGACTCAGAGGGCGCTGGGTACCGCTGAAGAGTGTTGAGCCAAGGAGGGTCATGTCACGGGCAGATACATGTTTTAGAATTTCTTCTTTTCTGGCTGAGATGTAGAGTATGGACTGGAGAGAAGCACAGGGGACATAGGAAAGGTAGTTCTAGAAAGAGGGGCTGTCCCACCAGGGAAAGTCAACCAACTGTTCCCCAGTATCCATTCCTCCCTTCCAGCTCATGGCACTAAAGCCACTGATTGATTAGCTGGGTGCTATCAATCTCTCTCTCATCTCTCTCTCCCTCTTTCTCTCCCCCTCATCTGTGTCTTTTCTCTCTCTCATCTCTCTGTCTCCCTCTTTCTGTCCCCCTCCTCCGTGTCTCCTCTCTCTCTCTTCTCTGTCTCATATCTCTCTCATTGCTCTCTCCCTCTTTCTCTCCCCCTCCTGTGTCTCCTTCTCTCTCTCTCTTTCTCCCCCATCTCTCTTTCTCTCCCCCTTCCTCTCTTTCTCCTCTCACTCTTCCTGTTTCTCTCTTTCTCTTTCTTCCTCTCTTTCTCCCTGTCTCTCTCTTCCTCTTTTCCTTTGTCTCTCTCTCTCCCCCCAACTCTCTCTCCCTACACACATCTTGAGAGACCTCAGCAGTGTAAGATAAGTTTAGCTACTCCACGGCCTGGCACGGTAGCTCACGCCTTTAATCCCAGCACTTTGAGAGGCCAAGGCAGGCAGATCACTGGAGATTAGGGGTTTGAAACCAGCCTGGCCAACATGGTGAAACCCTGTCTCTACTACAAGTACCAAAAAATTAGCTGGGCATGGTGGCACGCGCCTGTAGTCCCAGCTACTCGGAAGGCTGAGGCAGGAGAATCGCTTGAGCCTGGGAGGCGGAAGTTGCAGTGAGCCGAGACCACACCTCTGCACTCCAGCCTGGGTGACAGAGTGAGATTCTGTCTCAAAAAAAGAAAGAGGAGGCCGGGCACTGTGGCTCAGGCCTGTAATCCCAGCACTTTGGGAGGCCGAGGCATGCAGATCACGAGGTCAGGAGATCGAGACCATCCTGGCTAACACAGTGAAACCCCGTCTCTATTAAAAATACAAAAAAATTAGCCAGGCACGGTGGCGGGTGCCTGTAGTCCCAGCTACTCGGGAGGCTGAGGCAGGAGAATGGCGTGAACCCGGGAGGCGGAGCTTGCAGTGAGCCGAGATCGCGCCACTGCACTCCAGCCTGGGCGACAGAGCAAGACTCTGTCAAGAAAGAAAGAAAAGAAAAGAAAAAAAGAAAAGAATAAAGGGAGGGAGGGAAGGGAAAGGAAGGGAAGGAAGGAAGGAAGGAAGGAAGGAAGGAAGGAAGGAAGGAAGGAAGGGGAGGGGAGGGGAGGGGAAGGGAGGGAAGAAAGGCAGGCCCTGATGTTCAGGGAGCTGAGAGTGAAGTCACCGGCTCCAACCCAGGATCCAAACTCAAGTCTGTCTGGGGTCCTATCCCCGTCACCACCCCCCGCCCCGACCCATCCCCCAGAGACCTGGGAAGGAGCCAGGCTCCTCCGGTTTCAGGAAAGGGCTGCACAAACCACCCCGCCACGATCCCTCCCAGAGAACAAACAGCTCCCGGCCACCGGCAGTCTCCCTCCTCCTCCTGCCAGGCTGGTTCCCAGACCCACCCTCCCTGTGTCATAAGCGCCTCTCCCCGCACTCTCACCAGGGCTGGCTGTTCTCAGAGGAACGCCCAGGAAAAACCTACCCGAACCCCTTTCAGCTGGGAAGGGGACCCGCCTGGGCTTCCTCACCGCCGATGAGACCTCCCTCGTCGTACACTTAGAGCTGCCTGTGTTTTCCTTCCTTCCTTAAGCGGGCTGGGAACTCTAGACACTCAGGGATGGGCCAGCCCATTAGAGTAAGCATTCGGCCACCTCTAGGCTGCTACGGTCACTGCTGCTGTCACCATCAACGTGACTGTCTCACACCTCACTTCCTCCGGCCAGCCACACCCCTGCAGATTTAACCCGCCAGCCTCCCTAAGGTTTCCTCTGCCTGAAATCCTCTCTGCATTCCTGGCTCATTCTCGAAATTGAGGTCAAAGCTCAGATGCCGCCTCCTTCCCTGACCACCCTACCTGAAGCAGCCGCACCTGCCTGCTCCTAGTCACGCCGTTCCTTCACCTGTTTCGTTTCCTCCACAGGGTTTACCACAATCTGAAAGTCTTATTCATGCAGGTGTCTACTTGTTTATCTCCCCACCACACCTACTAGGATGACAATATCACAAGGGCTGGGGTTTCATCTGTCTCCTCCTCCTCTGTATCTCCAGCACATGAAACATGCTTGGCACACTGTAGGTGCTTAAGTATTTGCTACTACATCACTTTGGGATTTTGCATAGGACACTCCCAATGCTTAGAATGTCAATCTTTGCTTCATTGTCCTTGGCAAACTCCTATTCATCCTTTGAAACCCCATCCATTTATCCCTTAACCAGGAAAGGCTTCTGTGCCTCATACAACCACCCATAAAGCTGGATTAGGGCTTTCTCTGGGGACACCCTTGCCCTGTGCCACACTTCCATTAGCGCACATATCCCCCATGAATTGTGCACACCAGCAGGGTCTAGAGTACGGCACACATTTTGTCTCAGGAGCTACGTATTGAATAAATAAATTAATTACTTTTTTTGAGACAAGGTCTTGCTCTGTCACCCAGGCTGGAGTGCAGTGGTGCAATCGTGGCTCACTGTACCTTGACCTCCCAGGTTCAAGCAATCCTCCCACCTCAGCCTCCCAAGCAGCTAGGACCACAGATGCAGGCCACTATGCCTGGCTAATTTTTAATTTTTTTTTTGGTAGGGATGGAATCTCCCTATGTTGCCCAGGCTGGTTTCAAACTCCTAGGCTCAAGGGATCCTCCTGCCTCTGCTTCCCAAAGTACTGGGACTATAGGTGTGAGACGCCACACTCAGCCTCATTATTTAATATGTAAGTAGCTATATCTCTCTGAGACCCAGCCCCATCTAATTTATAACCTCCCTCCTTCTCAAGAACATGCCTCAGCTCCCATTGCCAGGGAATCTGACCTTTCTCCTTGTCATAGGATTTTTTTTTTTTTTTGAGTCAGAATCTCAGTCAGTCACCCAGCCTGGAGTGCATGGCGCAATGGCTCGCTGCAACCTCTGCCTCCCGGGTTCAAGTGATTCTCCTGCCTCAGTCTCCCTAGTAGCTGGGACTACAAGCGCACGCCACCACACCCAGCTACTTTTGTAGAGATGGGGTTTCACCATGTTGGCTAAGCTGGTCTCGAACTCCTGATCTCAAGTGATGGCCTCCCAAAATGCTGGGTAACAGGTGTGAGGCACCACATCCGGCTGTCATAGGAATTTGTCAGCAAATCCTACAGACTAGAGGATGTGTGTTGGGTGGTGTGGGGGTGGGGATAACGGAGGAGATGGGGGGTGAGCTCTTCAAGCCCCAGGGGAGAATTCTGTTCCGTTCCTGGGACATCCCAGGTGAGAGGGAAGAAAGGCCAGCCCCCCAAGACAGCTATCCCAGACTGGGACAGAGGCAAACCCTGACCACAGAGCCCTGTCACTCACCCAAGAACAGGTGCCAATGACAGAATAGCCAGGCCGAGGGGGGAGAGAGGTGCTTCGGTGATGGATTTCCCTGGTGACTTGCCAAGACAGGGCTTTACTGCCTCCGCCCTGGACTGGCTGAGTCAGACTGTGCAGGGGTGGACACTTTGACTGGTATTTGGGAGGCATTTGCTGTGGGTTACAGAGAGGGAGGGGCCTCCTTTGCGGCCAGAGAAGGAGGAAAGAGGCCCTGGGCCCTGGGACTTGGGACTTGGGTGGAGGCTCGGGTTTCGGTCTCACCTGCTGCTCCAGACCATGGCCTGGAGGGCCGCCTGCGCCACCCCCAAAGCAATGAGATAGCCCCTCCTCCCTCAGACCCAGGAGTCCAGGCCCCCAGCCCCTCCTCCCTCAGACCCAAGAGTCCAGACCCCAGCCCCTCCTCCCTCAGACCCAAAGGCCTCGGACCCATACCAAATGCTTCTATGAGATAGTTTTCTCCCCTTGTTCATGAAGAAATGAGCCCAGGCCCAGTCAGATCTGCATCTGTGTCACAGCCCAGGGCCACTGTAACCTTAGGCTACTGACTTCCCTCTCTGAGCCTCTGTTTTCTCCTGTCAATGGGGCAAGGGGTCTGCTCCTTCCCTCAAACCCCAACTCAGGTACAGTCAAGCACAGAAAATACTTGTGGCATGAATGTGATGAGAACACAGAATTGCAGAAGCCAAAGAAAGAGAAGCGTAAGGGCCCTCCTTCCACCCCTACCTCCCCCACCCGCTGCTACACGCACCAGGACCACCTGCTGGGTAGCCAGGAGCTCACAGTCTAGCCCCGCTGGCCACCCCTGCAGCCCCCATCCTTCACTCAGGCAGTTGCAGGGCCCAGAACACCCCTATCTTCTAGGATTGACACTGGCTGTCAAACTCATCCTTCAAGGTGATTCCTGGCCTGCCCTCCTCCTCCAGGCAGCCTGTCCTCCTCCTCCAGGCAGCCTGTCCTGACCCTCAGCAGCCTCTCCTGGCCTTGGCAGAGCCCCTCGTGTCCTCCCTTGCAGCACGCATGGGAAGAAAGGCCATCGTCCTCGCCATTGCTAACACCAGCCTTGCGTTTCCTCTTTGCCAGGTACTGTATTGACAACTCTCTATAACCTGACTTTATCCTCCCAATAAGCTGGGTGTGGTGGGTGGCTCATGCCTGTCATCCCAGCACTTCGGGAGGATAAGGCAGGAGTATCACATGAGCCCAGGAGTTGGAGACCAGCCTGGGCAACATAAGGAGACTCTACTATATATATGTGTATATATATTTATATATAGTCTGAGATGGGAGGATCACCCCAGTAGGTCGAGACTGCAGTGAGCTGTGATTATGACACTGCATTCTAGCCTGGGCCACAGAACTAGACCTTGTCTCAATTAAGAAAAAAAATGGGGATAATAGGACCCATTCCATAGGATGTGGTGAGGATTATGCATACACACACACACACACACACACACACATTTATGATGTACTGAGAAGATATAAGCACACAATAAGTATCTCCAAAATTATCAAGTGGCAAAGCCAGGATTCAGACCCACACCTGCCCGAGGCTCTCTGCCATCAGACCACACTATATCTCTTTCTCTCTGTTCCTTCATCCCCATCAATCGAAGGCAAAAATGTGCCTTCTCTGATTTCCAGGCTCACTCAGCATAGACCGTGGAGGCAACATATCTTGAATGAAGCAACAAAGCAGTAATGCACATGAATGCACCAAATGCCAAAAGCTCGTTTACTCAACAAGTATCTCTCCAACACTTTCTATGTGCTAGACCCAATTCTGTGTGCTGCAGATTAAGTGGAGGACTGATCACACAAAAATCTTTGCCCTTGTGAAGCTTGCATTTTTTTTTTTTTTTTTTTGAGATGGAGTCTTGCTCTGTCACCCAGGCTGGAGTGCAGTGGAGCAATCTTGGCTCACTGCAATCTCCACCTCCCGGGTTCACGCCATTCTCCTGCCTCAGCCTCCGGAGTAGGTGGGACTACAGGCACCCACCACCAAGCCTGGTTAATTGTTTTGTATTTTTAGTAGAGACGGGGTTTCACCATGTTAGCCAGGATGGTCTCAATCTCCTGACCTCGTGATCCACACGCCTCGGCCTCCCAAAGTGCTGGGATTACAGGCGTGAGCCACCACACCCGGCCGCTTTTTTTTTTTTTAAGATGGAGTCTCGCTCTGTCACCCAGGCTGGAGTGCAGTGGCACGATCATCTCGGTTCACTGCAACCTCCACCTCCCAGGTTCAAGTGACTCTCTTGCCTTGGTCTCCCAAGAAGCTGGGATTACAGGTGTGCACCACCAACTCTGGCTAATTTTTTTTTTTTTAGTAGAAATGGGGTTTTATCATGTTGGTGACATGGTGTGATCTCGGCTGACTGCAACCTCCACCTCCGGGGTTCAAGCAATTTTCTTGTCTCAGCCTCCCAAGAAGCTGGGATTACAGGTGTACACCACCACCCCCGGCTAATTTTCATATTTTCAGTAGAGACGTGCTTTCACCATGTTGGCCAGGTTGGTCTCGAACTCCCAACCTCAAGTGATCAATCCGCCTCAGCCTCCCAAAGTGCTGGGATTACAGGCATGTGCCACCGTGCCCAGCCTGTGAAGCTTGCATTCTAACGGAGGAGACACAGACAAAATGAACCAGGAACACAGTGGGTAAGAAGGTGAAAAGTTCTCCACACAAAAATGAAGTAGGGAGAGAGGAAAGAGACTACAAAGAAGTTGGGTTGCCGGGGGCGGTGGCTCACACCCATAATCCCAGCACTTTGGGAGGCCGAGGCGGGCAGATCACGAGGTCAAGAGATCGAGACCATCCTGGCCAACATGGTGAAATGCTGTCTCTACTAAAAGTACAAAATTAGCCGGGCGTGGTGGCGCGCGCCTGTAGTCCCAGCTACTCAGGAGGCTGAGGCAGGAGAATCACTTGAACCTGGGGGGGCGGAGGTTGCGGTGAGCCAAGATTGCGCCACTGCACTCCAGCCTGGGCAACAAGAGTGAAACTCTGTCTCAAAAAAAACAAAAGAAGTCGAGTAAGGGATGCCGCCATTTGAAACAGGGTGGTCAGCCAGTCCTCTGAGAAGGTGACATTCAGGCAAAGATCAAAGGAGGCAAGAAAGTGAGGCATGAGGGTATCTGGTAGAAGAGCATTCCAGGCAGAGGAAACAGCAAGTGCAAAGGCCCTGAGGCAGGACCGGGTCTGGATGTTCCAAGAGCAGCAAGGAGGCCAGTGTGCTGACACACAGAAGGAAGAGATGAGATCAGAATCACGTCCCTTAAGGCCTTGCAAGATGTCAGCTTTTTTTTTTTCTTCTTTTTTGAGACAGAGTCTCGCTCTGTCGCCCAGGCTGGAGTGCAATGGCGCAATCTCGGCTCACTGCAAGCTCCGCCTTCCAGGTTCACGCCATTCTCCTGCCTCAGCCTCCCGAGTAGCTGGGACTACAGGTGCCCACCACCACGCCCGGCTAATTGTTTGTATTTTTAGTAGAGACGGGGTTTCACCGTGTTAGCCAGGATGGTCTCGATCTCCTGACCTCGTGTTCCACCCGCCTCGGCCTCCCAAAGTGCTGGGATTACAGGTGTGAGCCACTGCGCCCGGCCTGTTTTCTGTTTTTTGAGATGGAGCCTCGCTCTCTTGCCTAGGCTGGAGTGCAGTGGTGCAATTATCGGCTCGCCGCAACCTCTGCCTCCCGGGTTCAAGTGATTTTCCTGCCTCAGCCTCCTGAGTAGCTGGGATTACAGGCACCCGCCACCACACCTGGATAATTTTTGTGTTTTTAGTACAGATGGGGTTTCACCATGTTGGCTGGGCTGGTCTCGAACTCCTGTCCTCAGGTGATCTGCCTGCCTCGGCCTCCCAAAGTGCTGGGATTAGAGATGTGAGCCACTGTACCCATGCAAGTTTCTTAACCCTTCTCTTCCTCATTTTCTCATCTGTGAGACGAAGACAGCCTCCCACCCAGACACACTCCCCTCACGGGGCTCTGGGGAGAAATGATGTGGAAAGCTTTGCTAGTAACCTCTACAGCATGGAGGGAGTTCTGGAAAAGTGATTTCAGAAAGGTGTTTATGCCTGGAAAGCCTGTTCATTTTTGTGATGTCCTTGGAGCTGGGCCAGGCATTATCGAGCTAAATCTTAGCTTTTGTCAGAATAGGGGGGTCATTGAGGGAAATTTCCAAAGGAAGGTGGAACGGGATGGGTGGGGAGGTAAGGGCATGAGCAGAGGCAGTGATCGTGGGCAGGAGGTGTCCATAGAAGACGGGCTGCCACTGGCCCTGGAGACAGAAGGTCAGCCCCGGGTTCAAATCCCTCCTTAACCAAGTGCTGAAATGGACAAGTTGCTCAACCTCTCTGGCCTTCAGCTTCCTCATCTGTCAAGCAGGAATCAAACCTCGAACTTCCTCCCGCTGTTAGAATTTCAAGGGAGTTTTAAAGACAGAGCTTTCAACTCTGACCTGTGAACAAGTGTGACATCAAATGTACTGTTCGTTGCTATTATTCTGTTGCTACAAGGCAGACAGTTAGTTTCCCAGCTCCCCTGCAGTCCCCCCAGCCCCTCCTAGATCTGTCTGCCAGCCCCGCCCCGGGGTCACTCCAGCCAGGCTGTGCCAGGTGAATGCTCAGGTATGCGGAGGCGGAGGCGGAGGCAGGACGGCCCTGGGAGGGAGCAGGAGGAGGGGCCGGCAGCCTGGAAGGGAAAGGACAGCGGAGAGCAGGGCAGAGCCTGAGCAGGCAGGTAAGGAGATCCGGGTCAGGAGAGAAGGGGGCCGGGGCTTGACCAATGGGTCTGAGGGACGGGGGGACTGGGGTCTGGACTCCAGGGTCTCAGGGAGGACGGGCTGGGGGTCTGAACTCCCGGGTCTGAGGGAGGAGGGCCTGGGGTCCTGGACTCCTAGGTCTGAGGGAGGAGGGGCTGAGGGCCTGGACTCCTGGGTCTGAGGGAGGAGGAGATGGGGCCTGGACTCCTGGGTCTGAGGGAGGAGTGGACTGGGGTCTGGACTCCTGGGTCTGAGGGAGGAGGGGACTGGGGTCTGGACTCCTGGGTCTAGGGAAGAGGGACTGGGGCCTGGACTTCTGGGTCTGAGGGAGGAGGGGCTGGGGGCCTGGACTCCTGGGCCTGAGGGAGGAGGGGCTGGGGCCTGGATGCCTGCATTGAGGGAGGAGGCTGGGGTAGGAATTAGAGGCTCCTACTGGCCAGGCCTTCACATGTTTGCTGGCTCCCAGGGCACCTCCAGGTGGGCAGGAGCTACCACTCAGCACCATGAGCACCGCCACAGGGTAAGCGCCCCCGGACCCCAGGTCCCAGCCCCAGCACGCCTCCCGCCTCCCCTCGCCTCCTCACCCACACCCGCTTGCGGCAGCCCAGACTGTTTGCGGCGGCCCAGACTCTGGCCCAAGCCCCGACACTCAGGAGGAAGCCAGAGCCTCTCTCCTCCCTGCCCAGCCTGGGGTTAGGGGCCCCCACTGCAGAGCAGACAGGCCTGAGCTCCAGTTCGGCCCTCACACTCAGTGCTGATGTAACCCTGGTCAGAGGACATCACCTCCTGGAGCCTCAGCCCCTCCTCTGTGACACAGGGACAATGTTGAAAAATTGGAGGGATAGTGCATTACAGGACTTAGCTGACCACCTCACTGACAGCAGGTGCTCAACTCATAGGAGTCGCTATTGCGATTGTTATGTTGTTAGTAAATATTAACCCTTTGCTAGAAAATCAGGGCTGTTTATAATGAAGACTCAAGTCCCCCAGAGTAAGCAGGGAGAAAAACAATGAGAGATGAGTCAAAATACCTGCATGGTAGGTAGTGAGCTCTCTGGCCCAGAGGTAATCAAATTGTGGTGACATCAGACTGGCAGGAGCAGGATGAGGAACAGGAGTTTGGGAAAAAGGGTTTTTCAGTTCCCCTGACGCCACCTGATCGCTGAGCTTCTGTTATGTGCATGCAAGTGGGGATTCAAGAATTCTTAGGAAAGGTAATCTTAGGAAGAAATTGAGGACGGGAGGAGACAGAGAAGGATGTGGTTGGGAAGCACCTGGCCCATGGGAGTGGGAGGGGAAGCAGATAATTCCCTGTCTACTTCAGATACCACTAATGCTATTATAACCATTCCCATTTATTGAGCAACTTCTGTGTGCTAAGCCCTGGCAGCATCTTAAGAATGATAATAACAGTTATTGAGGCTTCAAAATACTTCACCTGCATCATCTGACTGAATTTGCCCAACAGCCCTACCAGATGGTTACTACGTTACAGAAAGAAAAACTGAGGCAGGAGAGATTAAATCCTCTTCTGAAGGTCTTATGGCAAGGAGGCAGTAGACAGAGGGTTTGAATCCCGGACTATGCCATGGTAGAGATCACACTCCCCTACCACCCAGCACCACCGCCTGACCTGACCTGTCTTTTTTTTTTTTTTTTTTTTTTTGAGATGGAGTCTCACTCTGCTGCCAGGCTGGAGTGCAGTGGCACGATCTGGACTCACTGCAACCTCCGCCTCCCAGGTTCAAGTGATTCTCCTGCCTCAGCCTCCCACGTAGCTGGCACTACAGGCGCCCACCACCACACCCAGCTAATTTTTGTATTTTTAGTAGAGACAGGGTTTCACCATGTTGGCCAAGATGGTCTCAATCTCTTGACTTTGTGATCCGCCCACCTCTGCCTCCCAAAGTGCTGGGATTACAGGCGTGAGCCACCGCGCCCAGCCTACCTGTCTTCTTAAAGTCCAGCTCTGGCTCTGAGCTCTCCTGCTCAATAATAATAATAATAATAATAATAATAATAATAATAATAACCCTTCCATCGCTCCCCATTACCTTCGTCATGAAGCCCTTGCTGCCCTGCTTGGCATTTCCACAGGATCTGCCCCCAGTCCCACAGTCTCTCTCATTCCTCTTTTCTTCACCAGCCCAGAAGCTGCCCCAAAGCCAAGCGCCAAGTCTATCTATGGTGAGCGGGGGGCAAGGGAGCCCCAGGCCCATAGAACTGGGTCTAAAGAAACAGGACCTGGCATCCAGGGTCTTGGAGGAGGAGGGGCTGGGGGTCTGGACTCCTGAGTCAGAGGGAAGAGGTGCTGGGGGTCTGGACTCCTGGGTCAGAGGGAAGAGGGGCTGGGGGGCTGGACTCCTAGGTTTGAGGGAGGAGGGGCTGGGGGCCTGGACTCCTGAGTCAGAGGGAAGAGGTGCTGGGGGCCTGGACTCCTGGGTCAGAGGGAAGAGGGGCTGGGGGGCTGGACTCCTGGGTCAGAGGGAAGAGGGGCTGGGGGGCTGGACTCCTGGGTCAGAGGGAAGAGGGGCTGGGGGGCTGGACTCCTGGGTCAGAGGGAAGAGGGGCTGGGGGGCTGGACTCCTGGGTCAGAGGGAAGAGGGGCTGGGGGGCTGGACTCCTGGGTCAGAGGGAAGAGGGGCTGGGGGTCTGGACTCCTGAGTCAGAGGGAAGAGGGGCTGGGGGGCTGGACTCCTGGGTCAGAGGGAAGAGGGGCTGGGGGCCTGGACTCCTGGGTCAGAGGGAAGAGGGGCTGGGGGCCTGGACTCCTGGGTCAGAGGGAAGAGGGGCTGGGGGTCTGGACTCCTGGGTCAGAGGGAGGAGGGGCTGGGGGGCTGGACTCCTGGGTCAGAGGGAAGAGGGGCTGGGGGCCTGGACTCCTGGGTTTGAGGGAGGAGGGGCTGGGGGCCTGGACTCCTGGGTCAGAGGGAAGAGGGGCTGGGGGGCTGGACTCCTAGGTTTGAGGGAGGAGGGGCTGGGGGCCTGGACTCCTGGGTCTGATGGAGGAGGGGCTGGGCCTGGACTCCCAGGCTCATTCTCTTTCTCCCCTGGCAGAGCAGAGGAAGCGTTACTCCACAGTTGTTATGGCTGATGTATCCCAGTACCCAGTCAATGTGAGTCTGGGGTCTGTGTTCCCCCAGGACATCTTCTGGGGCAAAGGTGGCCTCAGGAGATAGGGCTTTTGAAAGCAGCTAGGCCCCCAAGCAGGAAGCATGTGGAAAGTCAGTTTGCCCATCCATAAAATGGACCTCCGTTGCCTCACCTCAGTCATGGATATGAAGCCAGGGGCCTCGGGTCCACTTAATCTGCCAGCCTTTCCTCCAGGCCAGCTGTTGTGCTGGACAGTGGGACCACGGAGGCAAATCAAGACACAGCCCTGCATGAGGAAGGGGTAGACAAGGTCCAGAGGAATCCACAGAGGCGCCTGGTGCTCTAATGGAGGTGGCAGGGGGCATGGCAGGAGACCCGAGGAGGCATTTAGAAGGAGAGAGCTATAATCCAGACTCCTTCCCTGCCCGCAAGGAGCCTCCAGTCTGTGAGAAGCCAGACTCAGGTGCTAGTCACTCTGATGAAAGGGAAACAAAGGGCACTGGGAGGAGGAGCTGATTTGTGGAACAGGTGATCAAGGAAGGCTTCCTGGAGGAGGTGTGGTTAGTCTCAGGCTGAAAGTCTGATTATTCTGGGGGATTCTGAGCCCACCTGGCATCATCTTGGGCCTCACTGCTTTCTCCATGGTCCGTACCAGCACCTGGTGACGTTCTGCCTGGGTGAGGACGATGGCGTGCATACCGTGGAGGATGCCTCCAGGAAGTTGGCCGTCATGGATAGCCAGGGCCGAGTCTGGGCACAGGAGATGCTGCTGCGAGTGTCTCCCGACCATGTCACGCTGCTCGACCCGGCCTCCAAGGTGCCGGGGGGCACGTGGGTGGGAGGAGTGTCTGGGGCAGGGACTTCAGGGGGTCTGGGTGTGAATCTTGGCTCCTGCACGTCCTTCCTCTGGGAACTCTGGCGAGGGACCCCAGCCCCCTTCTTGAGCCTTAATAGCCTCATCTATTAAACAGGGCTGTTATCCCTAACCCCCTAACCGCCTGAGGTTGCCCTGACCTGCTGGCCCACACTCCCGTCGCCATTTAGTAGTACCATCATTTCGGGGCCTCAGTTTACCCCGCCATCCCACCCGGCAGGAGGAGCTGGAGTCGTACCCACTGGGCGCCATCGTGCGCTGTGACGCGGTGATGCCACCCGGCAGGAGCCGCTCGTTGCTGCTGCTCGTGTGCCAGGAACCCGAGCGCGCGCAGCCCGACGTGCACTTCTTCCAGGGCCTGCGCCTCGGGGTGAGCAGATGGGCTGGCTCTGGGGGTGGAGCTGGAACTGGGCGGAGCCTGGAGCCGGGGCGGAAATGGGTGGGGCCTCTAGGTGGGGCGGGGCCTGGGGCTAAGGCGGGATCAGAGCAAGGAAGGGCAGGGGACCTGGGAAGGAAGTTCTGGAAGGCAGTGGGGTTTGAGATTGGACCCAGGGTCAAGATAGAACATGAAGGTGGGATGAGGACATGAACAGAACATGGCCAAGAAGGATCTGGGGGAGCAGCCAGGACGAGGTGGGGGCGAGGAACCACCCGGACTGGGTCTCCATGGGCGGGGTCGTGGCTTAGGGCAGGGACAGGTGTAGGGCGAGGGGTGAGTTCGGGGCGTGGACGTGCGTGGGTTCACAGGTGTGAACGGTAGCCGCACGTGGGCTGGGACTGAGCTGAAAAATCGGCCAGGGGCGAGGCCCGGGTAGGAAGTGGGTGCGGCGTGGGGAGGCGTGGCCTGACGGTGTGATTGGCAGGCGGAGCTGATCCGAGAGGACATCCAGGGGGCTCTGCACAATTACCGCTCGGGCCGCGGGGAGCGCAGGGCGGCGGCGCTCAGGTGAGAGGGAAGAAGTTGGCAGGGTCTCTGGGAAGCCGGTTTCCCCTCCTTGTGCCTCAGTCTACAACACCAGCCTGGAACAGAACAAGAGTTTTGCATGGAGTCAAGCACACCCTAGTCGAGTCTTGTCTGTACCTCCCAGACGAGCTGACCCCTTCTCCAGAACTCTGCTTCTTTTCTCTGTTCCCTGTCCAGGCCCTCAGTTTCACTCTAGAGAGGTGCTATCCCTCCGTATATCGGATTTCTCCCTACCTCGTTGAACTTGTTCACTCCCTTTGAGCCTTTTGAGCCTGTGTGTCTCGTTCTGCGCCCTGGATTTCCCCCTCCCTGGACCCCTCAGTGGACCCAGTCTTGGTGTCCCCGTCGCCCTCCGCAGGGCCACGCAGGAGGAGTTGCAGCGCGACCGCTCGCCCGCCGCTGAGACCCCGCCCCTGCAGCGCCGCCCGTCAGTCCGCGCAGTGATCAGCACCGTAGAGCGGGGCGCGGGCCGCGGACGACCCCAGGCGAAGCCCATTCCCGAGGCAGAGGAGGCGCAGAGGCCTGAGCCGGTGGGGACCTCGAGCAACGCTGACTCGGCCTCCCCGGACCTGGGTCCCCGGGGTCCTGACCTGGCGGTTCTGCAGGCGGAGCGGGAAGTGGTGAGCCGCTAAGGAAGGGGTCTGGGGGCAGGGCCAGGCGACTGGAGGCGGGGCTAGGGCGTGGAAGGGCGGGGCCGGCTGCGGGACGGGCGTTCTCTGGTCAGACTTCTGCGTTATGGAAGAGGGGCTGGGTCGGGGGCGGGGCTTGGTTGTGGGGCGTGGCCAGGTGTTTGGGGCGTGGCCTGATCTGGGGAAGTGTATAGGTGCTCAGGTTCAGGGCTTCGACGGGGATGGTTTTGGAACTCGGGAGCCCTGAGCGTCCCCCTCCTCTGTCCCCTAGGACATCCTGAACCACGTGTTCGACGACGTAGAGAGCTTTGTATCGAGGCTGCAGAAGTCGGCGGAGGCGGCCAGGGTGCTGGAGCACCGGGAACGCGGCCGCAGGAGCCGGCGCCGGGCGGCTGGGGGTAAGGGGCACCCTGGCGTGGGATCTGAACCCCCTCCCGATCTCTTCCAAATGTCCCCGCTCTCCCCAGGCTCTCCCCTCCCGCCACTTGCCAGGGCTGACCTCACCGCCATCTTAACCGGGTGTCCACCTCTCTCTGCCTGCCTGGTGCTGGCCCCGCGTCCCCATCGCCGCGCCCGTCTGCTCCCCTCAGAGGGCTTGCTGACGCTGCGGGCCAAGCCGCCCTCGGAGGCCGAGTACACCGACGTGCTGCAGAAGATCAAGTACGCCTTCAGCCTGCTGGTGAGGACGCGCCCGCCCCTGGGCCGGGGCGCGGGCACGACGAACCTGTCCCGTCCCCGCACCCACGCCAACCACCTCCCTCCCCACGCCCCAGGCCCGGCTGCGCGGCAACATCGCCGACCCCTCCTCTCCGGAGCTGTTGCACTTCCTTTTCGGGCCTCTGCAGATGGTGAGACCCGCCCCAGGCCCTCGGGCCCCCCTGCAGCGGGAGGAATCGGGTTCGACTTGTAGAAGGTGTGGCGGCACAGCCTGCCCCTCCTGCTCCCCTGACAGATTGTGAACACGTCGGGGGGGCCGGAGTTCGCGAGCAGTGTGCGGCGGCCGCATCTGACATCGGATGCCGTGGCGCTGCTGCGGGACAACGTCACTCCACGTGAAAACGAGCTCTGGACCTCGCTGGGGGACTCGTGGACCCGCCCCGGGTGAGGGGCGGGGCTGGGAGGCAGGGGGCATGGTGATTGGAGGAGCATAAGGCGCTGGGAGGTGGGTGGCATGATGATTGGAAAATAGGACTAGGAGAGTAGGGAGGGGTTAGAGGCGTGGCTTAGTTGTGTTGGGGCGGGGCTTAGGACAGATGCCAAGATTCAATTGGAGGAAAGGCCAGGAATTAACGTGAAGGAAAGATTTAAGACCACCAGACCAATCGGATTGAAAGAAAAGGGGGGCTTAAAGGAATAGAGGGGCTAGGGGCTACGGGGCAGGGGCGGGGCTACGCGAAGGGGCGGGGCTTCTGGAAGGTTTGGTCTATAACTTTGGTGATGGGACAGAGTCTGTGCACTGCGGGCTGGCAGTTCCGCAGGGAAAGGGTCAGAACCTGAAACCGACCTTACGGAAAACCTGATTTGGAATCAGGTGAGATTTAGAGGCTGGATAAGGCAATTTTTTTCCAGAGAGAGAGATGGATGGGGTCTCAATATTTTGCCCAGGCTGGTCTGGAACTCCTGGCCTCAAGCGATCCTCCCATCTTGGCCTCCCAAAATGCTGGGATTACAGGCGTGAGCCACCGTGCCCGGTCTAGAAATATAAATTGCTGTTGAGTTGGGCTTAGAGCTACCGGCAGGACTTGGTGAAAAGTGGCGGGGCTAGAATCGTTGGAATACAGCGAGCTTTAGGGGAAAACTTAGTGAAGTTAATGCAGGAACGAAGTTGGGGGCTGTATCAGGATCCCTGAGCTCTTGGCCCTGTCCCTGGCCGCAGGCTGGAGCTGTCCCCGGAGGAGGGACCCCCATACAGACCCGAGTTCTTCAGCGGCTGGGAGCCGCCGGTCACTGACCCGCAGAGCCGCGCCTGGGAGGACCCAGTTGAGAAACAGCTACAGCACGAGCGGAGGCGCCGGCAGGTGACCCAAGCGACACAGCAGGGCCGAGGCTGGGAAGTCCGGGGGCGCGGCCGGTCCGCCTGGCCCCGCCTGACCCGACTGTCTTACTTCCTACAGCAAAGCGCCCCCCAGGTCGCTGTCAATGGGTGAGTGTCCGCCCCAGGGCAGGGCAAGGGGGTCAAGGAGGGGTGCGTCCCGGGGGCTCCCGATGCTGACTCCGCCCCCTTTTTTTCTGTGTTTTTCCTTCTGTCTTCCTGGCTCTTCTCAGGTGGGTGAGATGGTGATGGGGCGGGCCGGGGCTGGGAGAGAGGGAGGAGCAGGGTGGGAGGGGGCGGGACCCAGACTTCTGGGGCTAAGGGAGTTGGGAATGGAGACCCGGATTCCTGGGCCTAAGGGAGGAAGGGGGCTGGGAGTGGGTAAAGTCTGAGAGGTTGGATCCCTGGATCCCCAAAAGGCTGGAAGAAGCCAGTTTGTTTTCCCAGGGCCTGGGAAGCACCATGCCTGGGCTCCCTAGGAGGACAGAGCCCTGGATATTGGAGGGGAGAGGCTGGGGAATTGGACCTTTGGGTTTTGAAGAAGAGCCCAAGTCTGGTGCTTGGGATCCTGGAGACCCAGAGGAGCAGGCTTGGGACTTCAAGGGCTTGGGGGCAAGTTTCTGGGAAAGTTAGGAAGTGGTAGTATCTCTGGGCCCCCGAGAGGGGTAAAGGCTGGACGATTAAACTCTTGGTTTTCCAGAGGCTCTAATGCAATTGTCTAAGTCGCTGCTGGGTGTCGGACTGGGTTAAAAGGTTTGAGGGTTAAAAGGATAAGATTGAAGCTT